>NC_000012.12:113066188-113217703 GCF_000001405.40 Homo sapiens | reverse complement strand
AAAAATTAGCCAAGCGTGGTAACACGCACCTGTAATCCCAGCTACTTGGGAGGCTGAGGCACGAGAATTGCTTGAACCAGGGGGGTGGAGGTTGCAGTGAGCCGAGATTACGCCACTGCACTCCAGCCTGGGCGACAGAGCGAGACTCAGTTTCAAAAACAAAACAACCACAACAAAAAATGTGAGTGGAAGCAGAGATTGTTTGCAGATTAGCTCATGGGAATTTGGGGGGAGTGATAGAAATGTTCTAAAACTGGATTGTAGTGATGTGGCAACTTCAGATACATTTACAAAAATAGTCACTGAGTTTTACACTTACAATGGGTGAATTTTATGGTAATGTAAATTATACCTCAATAGAGCTGTAAAAAAAAAAAAATTACACGTGTGATTAGTACTATGCAGGAAAGGTGAGAGAGTTTCCACAGGTTGTAAAGTGCTGTCTGTTCCAGTCTGAGGAGGGGTAGCCATTGAGCTAAGACCTAAAGAATGAGAAATTGTTAATCTAGGGAGAAATTATTCCTGGGGGGTTGGTTTCTGACAAAAGGAACATTATACATTAGTGCCTGAGAGCAGGACGGGTTTGAGATAGGCTGTTTTTTGTTTTGTTTTTTTGAGACAGAGCCTTTCTCTGTTGCCCAGGCTGGAGTGCAGTGGTGCAATCTCAGCTCACTGCAACCTACGCCTCTTGGGTTCAAGCGATTCTCCTGCCTCAGCCTACCAGGTAGCTGGAATTACAGGTGCCCAACACCATGCGCTGCTAATTTCTGTATTTTTAGTAGAGACTGGGTTTCACCATGATAGCCAGGCTTGGTCTCGAACTCTTGACCTCAGGTGATCCACCCACCTCGGCCTCCCAAAGTGCTCCCAAAGTCCTGTAATCCCAAAGATTACAGGAGTGAGCCACCGCACCCAACCCTGTTTCGTTTAATTTTAACTCTAGTCCCAGTTGGCAAACTGATTTCACTGCCCAGTAAAGGGTTACAACCTTAAGATTTTATTTTTTAAGCAGTTTTAGATTCACAGCAAAATTGAGAGAAAGGTAGAGAGAGTTCCTACATACCCCCTATTCCCACATGCACAGCCTGCCCCACCGTCAACCTCCCCCACCAGAGTGGTGCATTTGTTACAGTTGATGAACCTACATTGACACATCAGCAGCAGCATCCAAATTCCATAGTTTACATAAGGGATAAGGGTTCACGCTTGGTGTTGTACATTCTGTGAATTTGGACAAATGTATAATGATGGTATCCATCATTGTAGTAAGGTACATAGTATTTTCACTGCCCTAAAAATCCTCCCTGTTCTGCCTATTCATCCCTCCCTTCCCCCAGCCCTTAGACAACACTGATCTTTTTACTATCTCCATAGTTTTGCCTTTGCCAGAATGTCATATAGTTGGAGTGATACCATATGCAGCTTCTTCAGATTGGCTTCTTTCACTTAGTGATATGCATTTAAGTTTCTTCCATGTCTTTTCGTGGCTTGACAGCTCATTTCTTTTTAACACTGAATAATCCTGTATTCCATTGTCGGGATGCCCCACTGTTTATCTACTCAGCTCCTGAAGGACATCTTGGTTGCTTCCAAATTTTGGCAGTTGTGAATGAAGCTGCTATAAATATCCATAAGCTTTTTGTGTGTGCAGGTTTTTGTGTGCACATGAGTTTTCAACTCCTTTGGGTAAACACCAAGGAGTGCAATTACTGGATCGTACAGTAAGAGCAGGTTTAAATTTGTAAGAAAACAACTGTCTTCCCAAGTGGCCGCACCATGTTGCATTCCCACCAGCAATGACAGAGTTTCTGCTTCACATCCTCACCAGCATTTGGAGTTGTCGGTGTTCTAGATTTTGTCCATTCTAATAGGTGTGTAGTAGTTAAATATTTTTTTCAAGTTGGAGAAGTTGATTATAGAATAATCTAAATTCACTACTAGGAAATTCTTCCTTCTGTCTGAAACTGCCAAAGTGATGCTGTCTACACTTAGATATAACCAGAAATAAGCATTTCTAAAGTGACACTGTAACCAAAAGAGGAATTAAAATTCCTGATGAACTGATTGATAAGGAGGGGAGACTGGACAATGGGGAGTGATTTAAGGGAACTTGGTCTTCTTCGGTCACTAACAGGAGAACATGAATAATGCAGAAACCAGCAAAATTAAAAACAAAATAGTAAAAAGGAGTAAAAACTGCTTCTGTTTTGACTTTTTATAAAGCCTTTGATACAAAAACATATACCATATTATTTTGTGGAAAAGCACATCTATTTTAAGAAACATTAAAGTGTTGATATTAACATAATTTTTGAAGTAGTACTAAAAGTCATAAAAGCGTAACACTTTTGAGCAAGGATTTCATTTCATTCCCTCAACAGTGCTGTGTCCCATTTCACAGGTAGAACGTCAAGGCTTAGAGAGGTTAATCGACTTACCCAAAGCCACACAGCCAGGAAGTGGTGAGACACTGGAATTGCATTCCAAATGTGTTTTTCGTTTCCACTTCAGTAATGAGGAAATGAAAGCCCAGAAGATCAAGTGGACTTGCCCAAGGCTATATAGCTTGTGGTCAGTGGAAAGTATTTCATCATAACCAGCAACATAGAAATCTGTCCCGGGGGGCATGTTCCCTCCCAATCTGAGTCACTATCCCATGTCCTCTGTCTCCAAAGCACCAGATAATCCTGGAGCCTGCAGCCACCCAGCCAGCATTACAAACAGGGTCCCAACTGTCAATACCTCCAGCATTCATTGCTGCAGCCCTAGCCTGGGAATCTTTTACAGACCAGTTGTAAACCATAAAACACAGGTTCTCAAAAAGAACAAGAGAGGAGGATTGGGTAATAGTTCAAAATTAGTCACAGAAAGAAAAAAAAAACCACTCAACTATGAAAAAGTAAAAAATTCATTACATTTAAAACTTTTGTTTAAAAAATTCCAAGCCCTGAGTAAAGGGATGCAAAAGAATTCATAGGCCAATTGTTGGCCTACAGTTCTATCATGAAAATATGACTCTCTTTTCTGGCTCCAATTCAGGACATATATATTTTGCAAAACAACATTATCCTATTATGCCAGCATCTCCCAGTGAGGAGACAAGCCTGTTGGTAAATCTGGGTTTGCCATCTCATTTATTCAACAGTGATTTCTTTTTCTTTTCTCTTTTTTTCTCTTTTTTTTTTTTTTTTTTTTTGAGACGGAGTCTCACGCTGTCACCCAGGCTGGAGTGTGCAGTGGTGCGATCTCAGCTCACTGCAACTTCCATTTCCCTGGTTCAAGTGATTCTCCTGCCTCAGCCTCCCAAGTAGTTGGGATTACAGGCATGTTTCACCACACCCGGCTAATTTTTGTATTTTTAGTAGAGATGTTTCGCCATATTGCCCAGGCTGGTCTCAAACTCCTGACCTCAGGTGATCCACCTGCCTCGGCCTCCCACAGTGCTGGAATTACAGGTGTGAGCCACTGAGCCCAACCGCAACAGTGATTTCTTTATTGAGCACCTACTGTATAGTAGTTGGTTGGGATAGCAGGTTTCATCATGAATCTGTTGCTTCTTTCTAGCCCCTCACTTTCCCCCTCCCTAGACTTGAAAGCCTCAGATAAAACATACAGAGTTCGGAAGAAAGCTAGAGGTTTGGAGGGTAGTGAGATCTTTCTGAGGCTAAAAAGAAAATTCCTCTTGAGCCCAGGAGTTCAAGACCAGCCTGGGCAACATAGCAAGACCTTGGTTTTTTTGTTTTTTGTTTTTGTTTTTTTTGAGACAGAGTCTCACTGTGTCACCCAGGCTGGAGTGCAGTGCTGCAATCTCGGCTCACTGCAACCTCCACCTCCCAGGTTCAAGCAATTCTCCCGCCTCAGCCTCCACAGGTGCCCACCACCATGCCCAGCTAATTTTTGTATTTTTAGTAGGGACAGGGTTTCACCATGTTGGCCAGGTTGGTCTCAAACTCCTGACCTCAAGTGATCAACCTGCCTTAGCCTCCCAAAGTGGTGGCATTACAGGCGTGGGCCACTGCGCCCGGCCAGAAGTCAATCTTAAAATCAAGAGACTGGACAGAATAGTGCTGATGGGGTGCAGGCCCTGTCACTTCCTAGCTGTAAACTAACTAGAATCATCTAACCTCTCTCTCTGTCTCCCTTTCTTCATCTGTGAAATAGAGGTAATAATAGCACCTACCTCATAGGGTTGTTGCAAGGATTAAAGGAATTAATTCGTATATAGCATTCAGAACAGTGTCTGCTACACAGTAAGTTCTCAAGAACTTACTTAGCTAATGTTAAAATGGTATTCCTTAAAATGAGATCCGGATGAGGATGGAAAAACTACCTATCAGGTACTATGCTTATTACCTGGGTGATGAAATAATCTGTACACCAAACCCCCATGACATGAAATTTACCTATATAACAAACCTGCACATGTAACCCGAACCTAAATTAAGAGTGAATTTAAAAAGAGAGAGAGAAATCCATTTCCCACACTCCAGTTGTTTTGGTTTTTTTTTTTTTTTTTTTTTTTTTTTTAGCACCCTCTGACTTTTCCACTTGCCAGTTTGGATTTGTAGGGTAGTTGTTAAGTGTTGGGTTTTTTCCTTCTCTCCAGGGGGAAAAAATATATAATTTAGTTCAAATCTTTTTTTTCCTCAAAATATTCTAAGAGCAAAATTAATAAAATATCCAACAAGCCTGTTTGAATGAAGACGAGGTATAATTTGCATGATAAAGATATATTTCCATTTATAAAGTTCATCAGCAGAATTAATGACAAATAAAGGGAATATCCAATTAAAGTTTCCCATCCATTAACAATTTGCTTCACTCTCAGGGCAGGAATTTTAAACGGAGATGCTTAAGTTGGAAATGATTTAAATATTAAGGTTGGTGGCATTAAAAAGGACATGAAATGATCATATTAGGATTCAAGGAAAAGAGATTCTCCAGTCATTTTTGTCGTCAGAGTCAGATGCATTTCCCCTCAATCCTAGTTCCACGGGCTTTATCTTGTTCACCCAAATGAGCTGTCAAGAAATGATGGGTGTCATCATAATCAAAGAAAACAAGTTTGCCCTTTAAAGCAAAAGAGGTAATTTGGCTGAAAGCAAATTGGAAACATTTCATGTAACGTTGCGTTTCCAGCCGCACTCTCTGAAGAATTCAGGCATTTTGATTTATGCCTGAGAGCTTTGGGGTACAATGGAGAGGACTGCATTCATTAACTACCTTGTTCACATTCATCCTGTAGCCATGGGCAAAGATCCTTCATCCTCAGAGAGCCTGAGAAATCTCCATGGCTGTCCCTAAAACTTTTTTTTCACTTACAAGATAGGATCTAGGCTGGGCATGGTGGCTCACGCCTGTAATCCCACCACTTTGGGAGGCCAAGGTGGGCAGATCACCTGAGGTCAGGAGTTTGAGACCAGACTGGCCAACATGATGAAACCCTGTCTCTATTAAAAATACAAAATTAGGCTAGCGTGGTGGTGCACGCCTGTAATCCCAGCTACTTGGGAGGCTGAGACAGGAGACTGCTTGTACCTGGGAGGCAGAGGTTGCAGTGAGCCCAAATCACACCATTGCACTCCAGCCTGGGTGACAACAGCAAAACTCCAGCTTAAAAAAAAAAAAAAAAAAGAGGAGAGATAGGATCTCGCTCTGTCACCCAGGCTGGAGTGCAGTGGTGCGATCATGGCTCACTGTAGCCTCAACCTCCCTGGCTCAAGCAATCCTCCTGCCTCAGCTCCCCAAATAGCGGGGACTACAGGCACCTGCCACCATGACAGGCTAATTTTTTTTTTAACTTTTTGTAGAGGTCTCATTTTGTTGCCCATGCTGATCTTGAACTCCTGGGCTCAAGGAATCTTCCCTCCTTGGCCTCCCAAAGTGCTTGGATTGCAGCTGTGAGCCACCATGCCCAGCCTCCTAAAACTTTGTCTTCAGGAAAAGCCTCAAAGGATCTCATGAGATTCATTAGGGAGCAGGAAGTGTGTGTGAATCAAAGTGATTGAAGATAATTCCCAATCCTCTGCTCCCAAAGGGGCTTCTGGTTTGTTTTTTGTTTTTTTGTTTTTTTAAGAGACAAGATCTCACTCTGTTGCTCAGGCTGGAATGCAGTGGCCTGATCATAGCTCACTGCATCCTCAAACTCCTGGGCTCAACAAATCCTCCTGCCTCAGCCTCCCAAAGTGTTGGGATTACGGGCGTGAACCATGATACCTGGCCTGATATTGAATACATTCTGCCTTGCCAAGGAACTAAACATCCTTAGCACCTGATCTGGCCTGCCTTTCTTTTTCGTTCTTAGTCACTTTGGGTGTTTCTTTGATTCCCTGCCATTCTCTTGGTGTGTTCTTTGGTTTGGTGAGTTGAAGTTATCTTTTGTGGCTTCAAGTGTCACTTCCTTCTCCTGGGCAACATAGCAAGACCCTATATCTACAAAAATAAAAATACAATAATTAGCTGGGAATGGTGGCACGTGCCTGTAGTATCAGCTACTCGGGAGCATGAGGCAGGAGGACTGTTTGAGCCCAGGAAGTCGAGGTTGCAGTGAGCCATGATCGTGCCACTGCACTCCCTGGATAATGGGAAGGCCAAGACACCATTGTCCACTGCAGTATGGCAGCTAGAGCTCAATGAGTTTAAAAGTGAGCTCATTGTCCTCCCCTCCAAATGTCCTCTCCTCTCCCAATTTCTGCCATAGTTTCTTAAGGGCCCCATCTTTCTCTACCAGTCACCCAAACTCAAAACTCTTTCACTCAAGTCCTAATGATTCTTTCTTCAAAACATTTCTCACATCTACAGACAATATGAAAATAAAAGTGGCACAGGTAACCTGTAAGTAGTAACTTACAGCTTTCATTGGTGCTTACTTCTTAGGAGAGGGGGAAAGACAGACAATAAACAAATAAACAGGTGCATATAGGGATGTCAGATGGTGATACTTAACCTGGAGAACGAACAGGATAAGGGGGAAGAGATGAAGAAGAATCAGGGTGAGGGATGGGGATGTTATGGGGGGTGTCCATCTGAGACATGGTGTTGGGGGGTGAGCAGACATCCTGGGCAGTAGGTGTTCTTTTTTTTTTTTTTTTCTTTTTTTCTTTTTTAAGAGATGGGGACTTGCTATGTTGCCTGGGCTGGTCTTGAACTCCTGGGCTCAAGCGATCCTCCCACTTCAACCTCCCAAAGTGCTAGGATTACAGGCGTGAGCCCCTGTGCTTGGCCAAGGCAGTAGGTGTTCGTTCAGCAATTGCATCAGAAATCATTAAAGTCCTGGACTTGGGATTTTCGTTTTCCTGGGTTAGTGCTATTAGTTATTTATTGAACATTTTTTACAGCGTGCAGGCTTCTCATTCATCCTGAGGACTCTTGTTTTACAGCTGAGGAAGCCCAAGCTCTGGAGGATTAAATGACCAGCCCAGAGACCCCCAGCAAGGATTTGAACCCAAGTGGGGCTGTGCAAAGCTAGTACTTTTAGCCATTGTACTATGAAAGCAATATAAATTACTGATCTCTGATTGCCCTATAGATTTTTCTGAAACAGTTATTTATTTGTCTATCTATCTTTTGAAACAGAGTCTCATTCTGTTGCCCAGGCCGGAGTACAGTGATGCAAACTTGGCTTACTGCAACCTCCGCCTCCTAGGTTCAAGAGATTCTCATGCCTCAGCCTCCTGAGTAACTGGGGTTAACCTGAGTAACAGGTGCGTACCACCATGCCTGGCATTCTCTCGTATTTTTATTAGAGACGGGGTTTCGCCATGTTGGCCAGGCTTGTCTTGAACTCCTGACCTCAGATGATCCACCTCCCTCGGCCTCCCACAGTGCTGTGATTACAGGTGTGAGCTACCATGCCTGGCCTGAAATAGTCTTTTAACTAAACTTTTTACTTTGTAATAATTGTAGATTTATAGAAAAGTTGCAAAGATAGTACAGAGAGTTCCCGTATGCCCTCCATTCTGCTCCCCCTAATGTTAACATCTTAGATAACCTTGATGTGTTTGTCAAAACCACAAAATTAGGCCCGGCACGGTGGCTCCTGTCTGTATTCCCAGCACTGGGAGGCTAAGGTGGGAGGATTGCTTGAGCCTAGGAGTTCAAGATCAGTCTGGGCAACATAGTGGAGCTCATCTCTATAAAAAGTTAAAAAATTAGCTAGGCATCGAGCACCTATAGTCCTAGCTACTTGAGAGGCTGAGACAGGAGGATCACTTGAGCCCAGTAGGTCGAGGCTGGAGTGAGCCATGGTCACACTATTGCACTCCAGCCAGGGTAACAGAGCGCCTACAAAATTAATGTTGGTACAATGCTATTAACTAAACTTTAGACTAGATTTGGATTTGGATTTGGATTTCTCCAGTTCCACTAATGTCCTTTTTCCACTCCAGAACCCAATCCAGAATACAACATTACATTTAGTGAAACAGTTTTTTAAATTGTATTTCAAAGTTATATTTCACCCACCAATTTTTAAAATCAGTACTTAAAAATGGCCAGGCGTGGTGGCTCAGGCCTGTAATCCCAGCACTTTGGGAGGCAAAGGCAGGTGGATTGAGAACAGCCTGGCAAACATGGCAAAACCCTGTCTCTACTAAAAATACAAAGATTAGCCAGGCGTGGTGGTGTGCACCTGTAGTCCCAGCTGCTCAGGAGGCTGAGGCAGGAGAATCACTTGAACCCAGGAGGCAGAGGTTGCAGTGAGCCGAGATCATGGCACTGCACTGCAGCCTGGGCGACAGAGCAAGACTCTGTCTCAAAACAAATAAACAAACAAACCAAAAAACTTTAAAATCAGTGAAAATGTGCCATTCCTAGTCCTGTTAGTCTTACACTGCATTCTGCCCTGTCCCTGTCCTGCTCAGACATAGGCTGAGGCCTGTGGTTCCGTCGCCCAGGCTGCTTGTCAGTTGGTTTCCTGCTGGTTTTGGCCAAGGGCAGTAGAAAGAAACCAGGGTATTTCTCCTCCCCCACCGCCACCCTTCTTTAATCTGCATTTCCGGCAATGTCTCTAGCTCCTCTGGGAACTGATGGCTGTGGTTCAAACTTCCCCTGGGTGACCCTGGGCCCCAGGCTCACCATCTCTTCATGTGGTGGCTTCCTGCCATTGACAATTGCGGGATGGCTTTGTCTTCCCCTGGTTGGCCTCTCAACTCTCCCATCACTGATGTAACCAGTCTCTGGTTTTAAATCCTTAGAATGCTGTCTGTATGCCTGGCTGGTCCCCGCCTGACACATGTGCCTGAGATGCCTCCACACTTGGTCTTCCTGCCCTTGTGGCCCTAACACCCTCACAAAGCTGAAAACTGCTTCCAGTGAAAGGTTCTGTGTAAAAGCGACAGAGGACCTAAGATGAACTCTTGATGTCAACAGTTGTGGTTTCTGCAGCCACACTAACCACACAGATGTCAGCACAGCTGCACTCACACCTACTTCTTCATTTTGCAGGATGGCCAGAGACAATAAAAGCACGAGACCCAAGTAGTCTACCGAAGTCTC
Source organism: Homo sapiens (assembly GCF_000001405.40). Taxonomy (NCBI): domain Eukaryota; kingdom Metazoa; phylum Chordata; class Mammalia; order Primates; family Hominidae; genus Homo; species Homo sapiens. Next base: position 113,208,208 of record NC_000012.12, on the reverse strand, counting down.
CATCTCTGTGGACCTACAGAGGCACAGAGGGCTGCTCACAAGATGGCTTTAGACATTCTCGCCATGGCCCCTTTGTATCAGGCCCCTGCCATCAACAGAATAGGGCCAAAGACAGACCCATCTAAAAGGCCAGCTGATCCACTAAAACCCTTGGTTCTCTCTAGGACCAAACTCACCACCATTGAGGCCAAAAGGATCATGTCCATCCTGGATGAGGCGATCTACAAGGTGGAGCTGGTGACCTTGCTGTCGTATGTGGCATCCAACAGAGAGGATATGGAGGGGATGCTGGGGGAGGACGTCATGAGGGCAGTGAGAGAGCATGAGGATCTCTGCCAGGTCCTCCTTGAAAACGTCAGGTGCCTGAAAGAGAAAGAAAGGCAATTGCAGGAGCAGAAAGAGGCTGAGGAGGAAGGGTGGCTCAGAGACCGCCTCCTTTCCATAGAGCTGCAGAAATCCAGCCTCTCACCACTTATGCAGCAGATCAAAGACTCCACCAAGAACGTCCTTAGACTCTTGCTCAGCAACCCCCAGGCTGCTAGGCTCCTGCAGATGCAGACACAGGGTAGAAGTGCAGAAGCCCAGAATTTTATTGACAGCCTGATAGAGCTCCGTGGTTTCCTGTTTGAAAAACTACTCACTAGTCCCATGGAAGCGAGGGATAAGGCCCAGTTCTTACAGGATATCAGTAGACAGAATAGTAATAACCAACAAATCATTGATACTCTTGAAAAGGAATTGGCGGAGAGAATGAAGAACAGGAATGCAGAGGTATTGTTTCATAGTATTGCTGAAATTACTGAAGAAGCCACACAAATCTTTTGTTGGTTGGGTTTTTCCTCAATGATTGATTTTTTTTTTAAGATGGAGTCTCGCTCTGTTGTCCAGACTAGAGTGCAGTGGTGTAATCTCGACTCACTGCAACCTCTGCCTCCCAGGTTCAAGCGATTCTCCCACCACAGCCTCCCAAGTAGTTGGGATTACAGGCGTATGCCACCACGCCCGGCTAATTTTTGTATTTTTAGTAGAGACAGGTTTTCGCCATGTTGGCCAGGCTGGTCTAGAACTCCTGACCTCAAGTGATCCTCCTGCTTTGGCCTCCCAAAGTGCTGGCCACTGCGCCTGGCCAATTGATTGACTGATTTTTTTGAGACAGGGTCTCACTCTGTTGCCCAGGCTAGAGTGCAGTGGCATGATCACAGCACACTGCAGCCTCCATCTCTCAGGCTTAAGCAATCCTCCCATCTCACCCTCCCAAGTAGCTGAGACTACAGGTGTGTGTCACCATGCCTGGCTAATTTTTTGATTGTTTGTAAAGATGGGCTCTTGCTACGTTGCCCAGGTTGGTCTCGAACTTCTGGGTTCAAGAGATCCTTCCGCCTTGGCCTCCCAAAGTGCTGGGGTTACAGGCATGAGCCACTATGCCCGGCCTCCCCAGTGATTTTTTTTTTTTTAAGATGGAGTCTTGCTGTGTCACCCAGGCTAAAGTGCAGTGGCAACATCTTGATTCACTGCAACCTCCGCCTCCTGTGTTGGGAATGGGTGCTCGGTGTCGCCAAAATCAACACTGAGACAAAGGATCTCTCAGCAAGGCTAGTTTACTCTCTGCAGAAAGGGTGCTGCTTGCTAGCAGTCTTGCCACAAGAGCACACATGAACAAAAGAGACGGGGTCATTTATAACCTGACGCATCCACCCTACTGCTGTGTCCAGTTTCCATTGGCTGGAACAGGACCTCACATTCTGTACTCAACCCGATTGGCTAGCAATTTAGAACTTCCCAAAAGAGGCAAAGGCAGAGGGAAACAAAGGAAGAGAGCAAGTAACTCCTGGAATGCTGAGAGAGGCAAAAACACCTCCAAATAAGGAAGAGGAATAGGCTATGACCTAATGCTTGCTTGGACCGGTTCAGGTATGCCAAGGCAAATATCTAAGCTAAAATGTGGGAGCTAAGAACAGAGTATATTGATTTCTTTTTTTTTTTTTTTTTTGAGGCGGAGTCTTGCTCTGTCACCCAGGCTGGAGTGCAGTGGTGTGATATCAGCTCACTGCAAGCTCCGCCTCCAGGGTCACACCATTCTCCTGCCTCAGCCTCCCGAGTAGCTGGGACTACAGGTGCCCACCACCATACCCAGCTAATTTTTTTTTTGTATTTTTAGTAGAGATGGGGTTTCACCGTGTTAGCCAGGATAGTCTCGATCTCCTGACCTCGTGATCCGCCCACCTCTGCCCCCCAAAGTGCTGGGATTACAGGCGTGAGTCACCACGCCCGGCCTATTGATTTCTTTTTTTTTTTTTTTTTTTTTTGAGACGGAGTCTCGCTCTGTCGCCCAGGCCGGAAGCCGGACTGCGGACTGCAGTGGCGCAATCTCGGCTCACTGCAAGCTCCGCTTCCCGGGTTCACGCCATTCTCCTGCCTCAGCCTCCCGAGTAGCTGGGACTACAGGCGCCCGCCACCGCGCCCGGCTAATTTTTTGTATTTTTAGTAGAGACGGGGTTTCACCTTGTTAGCCAGGATGGTCTCGATCTCCTGACCTCATGATCCACCCGCCTCGGCCTCCCAAAGTGCTGGGATTACTGGCATGAGCCACCGCGCCCGGCCTGATTTCTTTATTACAGCTAGCAGAATTGAAGAATATTAACACAGGTCTTCGAGTAAATTTTGGTTCTAAGAGAGGTTACTACCTATTCTGAATTAGACTGGGAGGAAAGTCCCTTTGAAGAGGAACCTCTATTTCATTTTCTACATCCTGGGTTCAAGCAATTCTTCTGGCTCAGCCTCCCGAGTCTCTGGGACTACAGGTGCCCGCCACAATGCCCAGCTAATTTTTTTATTTTTAGTAGAGATGGGGTTTCACCGTGTTGGCCAGGCTGGTCTTGAACTCCTGACCCTAAGTGATCTGCCCGCCTTGGCCTCCCAAAGTGCTGGGATTATAGGCGTGAGCCACTGCGCCTGGCCTAAGTAGCTTTTTTTTTTTAAAAAAAAATTCATTTACTCCACAAATTATTGTAAGTACTTACTAGGTGCCAGGTCTTATAAATAAGCCCATGTGGTTCCAGCCTCATGGAGTTCACAGTAAGGAAGGTAGGAATTAAAGAATTCATTTAATTACAGTTTTGAGAAGTACAATGTACTTCTCAAAGGGAGTGTTACAGGAGAACTTAACACCAAAAGGTCAGGGACATTGAAGCCAAGATATGAAGAATGCGAGGGCGTGAACCAGGCAAGTGCAGTGAGGAAGAACCTTCCAAGCTAGGGATCAGCGAACTATTTTTTTTTTTTTGAGACAGTCTTACTCTATGCCCAAGCTGGAGTATAATGGCATGATCTCAGCTTACTGCAGCCTTCACCTCCCAGGTTCAAGTGATTCTTGTGCCTCAGCCTCCTGAGTAGCTGGGATTACAGGCATGTGCCACCACGCCTGGCTAATTTTTGTATCTTTTAGTAGAGACAGAGTTTTGCCATTTTGGCCAGGCTGTTCTTGAATTCCTGGTCTCAAGTGATCCTCCCACCTCCCACCTCAGCCTCCCAAAGTGCTGGAATTACATGTGTGAGCCACCGCACCTGGCCCCAACTTTTTCTACAAAGGGCCAGATAGTAAAAACATTAGGCTTTGTGGGCCAGATGGTCTGTTGCAATTACTCAACTCAGCTTTGCTGTTATAGGGGAAAAGCAGCCACAAACAATATGTAAATGAATGGGCTGTGTTCCAACAAAACTTTACTTACAAATACAAGTGGCTGGCTGGATTCGGCCTGTGGGCCATAGTTTGCCAACCCCTGTTCCAGGTGGAGGGTAGAGTGCACCTCAGTAATGAGACAAGAATAAGCCTGGCTAGTTCAGAAACCCAGAGAATGCCAGTGAGCTAGAGGGAAGGGACAAAGATGGGCTGGGAAAGCAGGGGAAGGAGACAGATCACACAGGGCCTTTGAGGCCTAATCAAGGAATTTGGTTTCTAGAAGTTTTTAGTTTTAGAGACAAGATCTTGCTCTGTCACCCAGGCTTGAGTGCATTGGCACGTTCATAGCTCACTGCGGCCTTGACCTCCTGGGCGATTCTCCTGCCTTAGCCTTTTGAGTAGCTGAAACTACAGGCATGCGCCACCACTCTTGGCTAATTTTTTACATTTTTGTAGAGACAGGGTCTCGCTATGTTGCCCAGGCTGGTTTCGAACTCCTGGGCTCAAGCAATCTCCCTGCCTCAGCCTCCCAAGTAGCTGTGACTACAGGCACATGCCACCATGCCTGCCTAATTAATTTTTTTTCTTTTTTTAGAGATGGGGTGTCTGGCTGGAAGTAGTGGCTCACACCTATAATCCCAGCACTTTGGGAAGCCAAGGCAGATGGATCACTTGAGGTCAAGAGTTCAAGACCAGCCTGGGCAACAGGGTGAAACCCCATCTCTACAAAAAAAAAAAAAAAAAAAAAAAAATTAGCTGGGCACAGTGGCTCATGCCTGTAATCCCAGCACTTTGGGAGGCTGAGGCAGGCAGATCACCTAAGGTCAGGAGTTCGAGACCAGCCTGACCAACATGGTGAAACCCCATCTCTACTCATAATATAAAAATTAGCTGGGTGTGGTGGCGTGCACCTATAATCTCAGCTACTCGGGAGGCTGAGGCACAAGAATTGCTTGAACCCAGGAAGTGGAGATTGCAGTGAGCCTAGATTGCACCATCATACTCCAGCCTGTGCGACAGAGTGAGACTCTGTCTCAATGAAAGGGAAGGGAAGGGAAGGGGTGGGGAGGGGAGGGGAGGGGTCTTACTCTGTTACCCAGGCTGGTCTTAAACTCCTAGCTTCAAGGGATCCTCCAGCCTCAGCCTCCTGAGTAGCTAGGATTATAGGCATACCACACCAGTTAGAAGAATTGTTAAGAAGGGAAATGGCGGTGTGGTGGCTCACGCCTGTAATCCCAACACTTTGGGAGGCCAAGGCAGGTGGATCACTTGAGCTCAGGAGTTTGAGACCAGCCTGGGCAACACGGCAAAACCCTGTCTCTACGTAAAAGACAAAATTAGCTGGGCGTGGTGGTATGCACCTGTAGTCCCAGCTACTCAGGAAGCTGAGGTGGGAGGATCACTTGCGCCCAGAAGGCAGAGGTTGCAGGGAGCTGAGATCGCACCACTGTACTCCAGCCTGGCTGCAGAGCAAGACCCTGTCTCAAAAAAAAAAGGGAAACAGTAGCATGATCCCAAACCCTAATAATAATTGTCATATTGCACACATACAGTGTATTTAGTTTAACATACATTTTCTCTCTAAATCTTTACAAAAACCCTGTGAGATGGTGTATGAGTACAGATTTGGCTGCTATAACAGAGACACCCAAAATAGCTGTGGCTTAGTCAAGATGGCAGTGTATTTCTCTGTAGTGGAAACACCGGAGCTGGTGTGGCATCTCTGCTCCCCAACTTGTCAGAGGTCTGGTTTCTTCTATGTGACTTCCCTGCTGTCCCCAACATGGGACTTCTGCTTGTGGGCCAAGATGGCTGCTCCAGCTTTCCCCATCATGTGGCCCCCAGTCTAGCCAGCAGGAAGGAGGAAAGGGGAGGAGAGGGCTTGGTTCTGCCCCTTAAGGACACGTGTGGAGGTGGCACACAGAACTTCCATGCATATCTTGTAGCCACACCCAGCAGAGAGAAGTGCTAGGAAGGACCGACCACCCGTCACTGGGGCTGTGTTATGCTCCACATTCTACCCCACAGCCTCTCTGGGGAGAGCAGACATGGGGGTAGCCAGGCTGCACTGCCACAGGCCCTTCTGTTTCTATCCCCCACCACTGATGAAAGGTTCAAGGCCCTGGGAAACTATTCACAGCCCCCTCCCTGGTGCTGGGTTGGGCACTTCTCACTGAATTTGTCCTTTAAAGCATTCACCTGACTTTGTGGATAACATTCACCTGACTTTGTGGATAACATATGTGTGTGTGATTTGTGTGGTCTTGAGGGGTCTGGCTCCTCCACAAGAAAAGGGGGACCTTGTCTCTTTCAGCCTGCCACTGTGTCCCCAGTGAGCCTGTCCAAAAGAGGGGCATGATGTATACTTGTTGAGTGGACAGAGGACCAGCTGCTGAGCCCTCGGGCAGGGAGGTTACTAGTAAGGTGGGAGGGGCATCATCTAGGAATAGGCAGAGGGACACAGGTGGCCCTGCTGGTCTCATTCAGGTGCTAGAACCAGCTTGGGGCTTCACCTTGGACTGACCTGGGCTCAAATGCCATTTTTGCCAGGTGGGCAAATTTCATGTCATTGAACCTCAGTGTACAGTGAGGGGAGACACCAATCAGGCACGTGTGGGGAGTCTACAGGGAGAGCTCTGACTGCCGATCATATTCCCAGCGCCTGGTGCCTAAAGCCTTGCCTGCAGGATGGGCTTGCCCCAAAGGCACTGCCTCCCTGCCCCCAGTGTGCAGGAAGTGAGCAGATGCCCGGCGGGCCTGCTGCCAGCTGACCCAAGCCCAAGATGGTGGCGTGAGCAGCCATAGCACCGCTGTGCTCAGAGGGAGACTCTAGTGTAGTGAGAAGCCTTGAGAGCTTCTTTACAAAACTGTCTCATCCTCCACCCCCATTCCTGTTCTAGAATCCACCCAAGGCAGGGGACAAGCCAGACATGGGCCCTCAAGAAAGAGCCCGGTGGCAATCCCTGCAGCCTGTGTTCATCGCACACCTTCATGCACCCCACTAAGTGTCTCTGCCAGCTGGGCCTCCCCTGCTGTGTCCCCAGGAGGAGCATCGCCGCTGTCCCAGTCCTCCCCTGTGGCCTCAATCCAACAAGCTTGTACCCTTCACTCGTGCAAGGAAATAGAAAGTGGTGGCCAAGAACGTGGGCTCAAGGTCAGACAAACCTGGCTTCAGGCCCCAGTTCAGCTGGGCAACCCCAGACAGATGAAGCCACCTCCTTGAGCCTCAGTTGTCTTGTCTGTAATCAGGCTGTCCCTGACCTCCATTGTGGGGTTGGGGGTGTGATTAGAGAGATATAACCCAGGTGGCATGCCTGGCCCTGAGGGAGGATGCAGTGGTGCCAGCCTCTGGTGACTGTCAGTGGATATGGAGAGTTGCTTTTTTTTTTGAGATGGAATCTCACTCTGTCACCCAAGTAAAAGTGCAGTGGTATGATATCTCCGCTCACTGCAATCTCTACTTCCTGTATTCAAGTGATTCTCCTGCCTCAGCCTCCCGAGTAGCTGGGATTACAGGCATGCACCACCACACCCAGCTAATTTTTGTATTTTTAGAAGAGACGGGATTTCATCATGTTAGCCAGGCTGGTCTCAAACTCCTGACCTCAGGTGACCCACCCACCTCAGCCTCCCTAAGTGTTGGGATTACAGGCGTGAGCCACTGTGCCCGGCTGGGCATGGAGGTATTAACGGAGCCCTTTCTCTTCCTGGCTTAGGTGGAAAAGGAGAACTTTGTGATCCAAGAACTGAAAAACCACCTGCACCAGGTGCTCAAGTTCTCAGAGAACAGCCTCGTTCGCACTAAGCAGGAGGCTGAGAAGCAGCAGAAGGCCGATTTCCGGGCATCACAGGCCAGGGTGGCCAAGATCCAGCAGGAGATCCTGCAGCTGCAGTCACAGTTTTACAACCTGGTCATGGAGAACCGGGAGGCAGAGCAGGCGCTGAGGAAGGTGCCCCGGGAAGCAGCGAGGATGGGCCGAGGGGGCCCCTGGTGGGGGGGATGGGTGGGACTGTTCCATCACTCCTGGAGGTCCAGCAGTGTTGGGCAGGGCAGGACTGCACCAGCTACTCAGGAAGTGGCTTGGTGGAGGGGAAGGGCACAGGAGCAGGGAAGGCCCAAATCCAAGCCAGTGTCTCCTGGGAGGCAGGAAGGGGCAGCACACAGGCCTGGGGACAGGGGACAAACTGGGATCCTGTCCCAGCATTGCTGCATGCCAGCTTTGTGACCTTGGGCAAGTTCCTCAACTCCTGAGACCCCACAGGGATAATACCCACATCGTCAGAGGCTGGGTGCCCTGCAAAGGAATGAAGAAGTAGCATGTAAAGCTCAGGCTAATTACTCAACTCCTGCCCAGCTGCCGATTTCACACCTCAGAAATGAAAATGCTAACATTGGTCTTAATGGTTGTTACATGAGAATTACATGAGATGGTAGTGAGAGAGCTGGTGCATAGTAAGTGTTCAATAAATATCATTTCTGACCGGGTAAGGTGGCTCATGCCTGTAATCCCAACACTTTGGGAGGCTGAGGTGGGAGGATCGCTTGAACCCAGGAGGCGGAGGCTGCAGTGAGCTGTGATTGCACCACTGCACTCCAGCCTGGGCAACAGCAAGACCCTGTCTGTACAAAGAATAAAAGATAAATTAGTCAGGCGCTGTGATGTGTGCCTATAGTCCCAGCTACTTGGGAGGCTGAGGCAGGAGGATCACTTTAGCCCAGGAGTTTGGAGGCTGCAGTGAACTATAACTGTGCCACTGCATTCCAGCCAGGTCAACAGAGTGAAACCTTGCCTCTTAAAAAAAAAAACCCAAAACCTTCATTTGCCTTCTCCTTCATCATCTCAGCCAAGACCCAGGCCTAGCACACACCCAACTTCCAAATCTCTTTCCTTGTAAAAGGCACCCTTTTTAATACTTGTCTCCAGTCTCTTAGTGTCACACTCTTGAGCATCTGATGGAAGCCACGGGCCTCTCCCCCAGAAAGAAGGCACAGATGCACTTACACATCCTAGTGGACAGTTCCCTGGGGAGCCCAGTCCCCCTGAAGCCGGCCTACCCATGGTGCCCAAGCTAAGGGCTCTTGCTCTGTAGGATTAGGGGGTTTATTTATTTATTTATTTATTTATTTATGTTTGAGACAGGGTCTCACTCTGTCACCCATGCCAGAGTGCAGTGGCGTGATCATAGCTCACTTCAGCCTCCAACTCCTGGGCTCAAGTGATCCTCCCATCTCAGCCCTCATGGGTCGCTGGGGCATGTCACCACGTCTGGCTAATTACAAATTATTATTATTGGCTGGGAGCAGTGGCTCACGCCTGTAATCCCAGCACTTTGGGAGGCTGAGGCAGACGGATCTCCTGAGGTCAGGAGTTCGAGACCAGCCTGGCCAATGTGGTGAAACCCTGTCTCTACTAAAAATACAAAATTAGCCGGGCGTGGTGGCATGCACCTGTAATCCCAGCTACTTGGGAGGCTGAGGCATGAGAATTGCTTGAACTCAGGAGGCGGGGGTTGCGGTGAACCGAGATCACACCACTGCACTCCAGCCTGGGTGACAGAGCGAAACTCCATCTCAAAAGAAAAAAAAAAAGTATCATTTTTTGTGGAGACAGGGTTTTGCTCTGTTGCCCAGGCTGATCTAGAACTTGTGGCCTCAAGCAATTCTCCCATTCCCACCGTGGCCTCCCAAATGGTTGGGATGAGCCACTGGCCCAGCCTGCTTATTTTTAATTTAGGTGAAACTTACATAACATAAAACCATTTTAAAATGAGCAATTCAGTGGCATTTAGTATATTCACGATGTTGTGCCACCCCCACTTCCACCACTTCTATCTAGTTCCAAAACATTATCACCTCAAAATAAAACTCCATATCCATTAAGAAGTTACTCCCCATTCCCTTATTCCCCCTGTCCCTGGCAATCACTAATGTGCTTTCTGTCTCTGTGGATTCACCTATTCTAGACACTTCATATGAATGGAATCTTCTGTGGCCGTTGTGTCTGGCATGTTTTACTTAGCACTGTGTTTTCAAGGTTCACCCATGTTGTAGCATGGATCAGTGCTTCACTGCTTTTTATGGTGGAAATAATCTTTTAAAAACAAGATTAGATCATGTCCCTCCACTGCATCTAAATCACCCAGTGGCTTCACCTCACCCTTTCCTGAGAATACAGCCTCCTCTTGCTGACACTCCCTCTGTGACACAGCCTTTTCCTTGGACCTTGTTGGGGACCACTTTCCTCCTCGCCACTCCCTTCCAGTCACACTGGCTTGATTTCTGTCCTTTAATTTTTTTTTTAATTTTTATTTTTTGAGACAGTCTTGCTCTGTCACCCAGGCTGGAGTGTGGTGGCATGATCTCAGCTCACTGCAAACTCTGCCTCCTGGGTTCAAGTGATTCTCCTGCCTCAGCCTCCTGAGTAGCTGAGATTACAGGTGTGCATCACCATGCCTGGCTAATTTTTGTATCTTTAGTAGAGATGGGGTTTTGGCATGTTGGCCAGGCTGGTCTCAAACTCCTGGCCTCAAGTGACCCGCCTGCCTCAGCCTCCCAAAGCGCTGGGATTACAGGCGTAAGCCACCACGCCAGGCTGATTTCTGTCCTTTAAACAGCACAAGCTTGTTCCTACCTCAGGGCCTTTGCACCTGCTGCTTTCTCTGCCTAGGATGTCCTGGAACCAGGCTGCTGGCATCAAATTCAGGCTCTGCCACCCATTAGCTCTGTCACCTTGGGCAAGTAAGATAGCATGTCTGAGCCTCAGTTCTCTCCCCTGTGAAATGGAGAAAAGGGAACCTCCTTGTTCAATAGGCGAGGCATGTCAAGCACCTGCCAGAGCCTAGTGATGCAGAGAGTGCTCAGTGCTGTTGATTGTTAATATATTCCATCAAACAATGACAAATTGGATCTTTTCTAGAAGAAATATAAAGTGGAAACGGAAATCGAGAACTGGATCCAGAAATATGATACAGAGATGGGTGAGAAGCAGGTATTTGTCGCTGAATAAGTCTCTCTCGCATGCTTTTCCCAAGACCTTCTAGGAATGGGATGAATGGGAAAAGTAGCCTTGGGATGGTCCATGGAGTGGGCAAACTTCTGAGCCTCTCTGCAGGGAGCACTTCCCTTTGTTTAAAGGGTTTGTCCAGCCTGGGGCAGAGTGAGAGGTGGGAAAGAAAAGAGCCAGAAGCTGCAAGGCCAGGTGCTGTGGCTCATGCCTGTAATCCCAGCACGTTGGGAGGCTGAGGTGGGAGGATCGCTTGAGCTCAGTAATTCAAGACCGGCCTGGGCAACAGAGCAAGACTCCATCTCTATTAATTTAAAAAAAAAAAAAAAAAAAAAGCGACTGGCTAGAAGGGCCTGACACTCTGACACTGGGCCTAATGATCATGGCTCCATCTAGTGTCCACATCCCATACTCCTCTGGATGGGCTCCTGCCAGCACCCCTACAAGGTGGGGCTCCTTCCCACAGACTCAGATGGGAGCCTGCCTCCACTGCATCACTCAGTCACTCAGCCAGTTTTTATTGAGCACCTGAGATGTGCCAGCTGTGTGGCCTTAAGCAAGGTACTTGACCTTCCCAAGCCCGTTTCTGCATCTGATTAGCAAAGGCAGTAATTCCCATTTTGGGACCATGGCGGGGATTCGGTGAGACACCATGGCTGCAAGTGTGTGTGCCCAGCACAGGGTCTGGCCTGGAGGGAAGTGCTCAGGGGGTGGTAACCTTCAAATCGAGACACGCCCAAACCCTTCACCCAGCACTGGGATAACATTGGTGGCCCATGGCTCCAACCCAGGGGCCAGGGAGGACTGGGGAGCACTGGAGAGCACTGGAGGTAATATGCGCTGGAGTGAGCCAAAGCCAGGTGTGCTCTTCAGAGAAGGGCAAGTCAGAACCTTGTCCTGGGCAACCATCAGGGCCTGGAGAGGGGAGCTTTGCAGGCGGGGGCTCTCATTTCTCTGGGTCCCATGAGGGTTGTGGGTTGGTTGCGGGCAGGGACTTTGTCCACCCAGCTCTGTGTCCTCTGGCAGTGCTCTGCTTTTTGTAGATGCTGGGAAAACATCAGTGGAAGGAAGGAAAACGGGTGTAAATGACAGCAGGAGAGGCTATGGTTAGACATAAGGAAGAACTCTGGGACTCCGTTTGAGGCCTGAGAAAGTTCCTTCTCCTCTGGTGTCTTGTGGAACAGACTGCTTTCATGGCAGCAGCCTCCATTTCTTGTGTCCCCACTGTGTGCCTGGCATCATGTCCAGTACATTGTGTCCATCGGGTCATTTAATCCTAGAAACAGCCCCTGGCTTCGGAATCGTCCCCATGTTTCAGATGAGGAAAAACGAAGGCCCGAAAGGTGAAGTCAGTTGAGGTGTGGCAGAGCTGGGACTTAAAACTAAGTCTGCCCAACTCACAAGCCCATGTTCTTTTCCTGTTCCTGAAATTATTTCAGTTGGGTCCTTCCTAGAGCTAGGATGGAGCCCATCCCCTCTCCCCATCCATGTCACTGGGACCGAGAGATGCTGAACAGCTTAGCTTAGGGGCATCGCTGGGGCAGAAGACCATTTGGGAAGGGTAAGGGGGCCTCAGGGAGGAGGGTGGGAGGAGGCACTCTATGTGTGGTGACCCCAGCCCCACCCCTCACCCCAGGAGGAGTTGGAGGATCTGGACGCTGTTCACAGGGAGGAGAAGATCTCGCTGGAGGAGCTCAGGCGGAGGCACAAAGTGCTGGTGGGAGAGTTTGCGCAGATCCGGGAAGAGCGGGAGATCAACTCCAAGAAAAGGATGGAGGCAGAGCAGGAGATGGTGCGCATGGTACGGGCGGCCACGCTCATCCAGGCCCTATGGAAGGGCTATCTGGTGCGCTCCCTGCTCAGATCCAAGAAGAAGCGGGGCAAGGGCAAAGCAAAGGACAAGGAGAAGGGCAAGCAGAAAGGCAAGGAGAAGGGCAAGGGCAAGAAATGAGCTCTCCACCCAGCCCGCTCCTGACCCTTATCTTCCCAGAGACCAGGCCAGGAAGGCCCGAGATGGAGAGCACTAAATTCACGGCTTTCATGTTTTTATTTAATAAATTAAAAAGTATTTGAAGCCACATTGAAGGGAACGCTCTACGAATAAATCTCTTTACCCAGGGCTGTGGGCTGTGTGTGTCCAGCTCACAGATGGTGTTTCCATGAGGAGCGTGCAGCCTGGGGTGTCAGCCCAGAGATTATGGTTCCTTACTTCAGCCTTAGTGGGAAACCAGACCCCAGCTGCAGCCCGGAAGCTGCCATGGCCATGATGGACACATCACTCACCAGGGCAGCGGGGTGTGGGTCACAGCTGCCCATAGGGGGCAAAGAAGCAGGCAGGGAACTCCAGGAGGAGCGGGGCCTCAGGTTTCAGGCTGCCCCTAACCCTGTTCTGGGATTAATTTGCTTGCAACTTCCCCTGCTCTAGCACTGTGAAAGCTCAGAGGGAGTCCTGAGGTCACAGCAGCCCTCAGCCTCACATTCCAGGGAGCTGAACAATTATTTAAAACAACTTTTTTTTTTTAAAGTAAAAAATTTTTAGGCCAGGAGTGGTTACTCACACCTCTAATCGCAGCACTTTGGGAGGCTGAGGCAGGCAGATCACTTGAGCTCAGGAGTTTGAGACCAGCTTGGGAAACATGGCAAAACCCCATGTTTTATTTTTTGTCTCTACAAAAAATTAAAAAATTAGCCAGGCATGGTGGCACACGGCAGTAGTCCCAGCTACTTGGGAGGCTGAGGTAGGAGGATCACTGGAGTCTGGGAGGGTCGAGATTGCAGCGAGCTGAGATTGTGCCACTGCACTCCAGCCTGAGTGACACAGGAAGACCCTGTCTCAAAAAAAAAAAAAAAAAAAAAAAAGGGTAGGTAGAGACAGGGTCTCACTATGTTGCCCAGGCTGGTCTTGAACTCCTGGCCTCAAGCGATCCTCCTGCCTGGGCCCCCCAAAGTGCTGGGATTACGGGCATGAGCCATCACCCCCGGCCTGAACAATTATCTTTAAATTATTTGTCAGCATTTAAAAAACTGAGGGCTACCATGTAGAAATCCAACACTCTCCCTTTTCTGGAAAAAAATCTAATCATCCAGATATCCCAGGTCTGCATATCTCCTAGGGCTCAGCAGCAGCAGCCCCCATTAGATGGTAAAGTAAGTCGCCCCCATCCTCACCACCCCCAACTGCCTTACATACACCACAGCCTGGTGTCCGTTGCCCTTTAGTGTCACCTTGGGCTACTGCCAGATTTTACTGTAGTTGGGAGGAGGAAAGAGGTTTGTTTTTTTTTTTTTTAGACAGAGTCTTGCTCTGTTGCTCAGGCTGCAGTGCACTGGTTGGATCTCAGCTTACTACTGCCTCTGCCTCCCAGTTTCAAGCGATTCTCCTGCCTCAGCCTCCCGAGTAGCTGGGATTACAGGCATGCGCCATCATGCCTGGCTAATTTTTGTATTTTTAGTAGAAACAGCGTTTTGCCATGTTTACCAGGCTAGTCTCAAGCTCCTAACCTCAAGTGATCCACCCACCTTGGCCTCCCAAAGTGCTGGGATTACAGGCATGAGTCACCATGCCCAGCCAGGAAAGAGAGGTTATTTCTGGCCTATGTCTGTGGAAACAAAGGGGAAGATGGGAAGGCAAAAGAGAGATGGATGTTTCAGGAAAAACTGAGGTGGGCGTGAGTAACTAATTGTTAGTGAAAGTTCCAGGAAGCTTAAACATTCTATATGTTTAAAATGCACATTGCAGCTGGGCGAGGTGGCTCACACCTGTAATCTCAGCACTTTGGGAGGCTGAAGCGGGAGGATCACTTCAGGCCAGGAGTTTGAGACCAGCCTGTACAACATAGTGAGACTCATGTCTCTTTTTTTTCCCTTTTTTTCTTGTTTCTTACTGGAAGGAATGAAATCCCTCTCTATAAATTTTTTTTTTTTTTTTTGAGACAGAGTCTCGCTCTGTTGCCCAGGCTGGAGTGCAGTGGCACGATCTCGGCTCACTGCAAGCTCCGCCTCCTGGGTTCACGCCATTCTCCTGCCTCAGCCTCCCATGTAGCTGGGACTACAGGCGCCTGCCACCGCGCCCGGCTAATTTTTTGTATTTTTAGTAGAGACAGGGTTTCACTGTGTTAGCCAGGATGGTCTCGATCTCCTGACCTCGTGATCCGCCCGCCTCGGCCTCCTAAAGTGCTGGGATTACAGGCATGAACCACCGCGCCCAGTCCAAAAAAATTTTTAAAAGAAGTTAGCCAGGCATGGTGGTGCATGCATGTAGTCCCCGCCACTCAGGAGGCTGAGGGGGAGGATGGCTTGAGCCGGGAGGTCAAGTCAGCAGTGAGCTATGATCGCACCACTGCACTCCAGGGTGGGCAAGGAAACGAGGCCCCGTGTCTTAAAAAACAAAACAAAACAAAAAAAAGAAACACCAAAAACAAACAAACATACAAACAAACAAACAAAAAACAAAGCATGTTTGCATGAGAGCACAGCTGGCCTGCCTGACCCCACAGGTGTTTCTGTGTGTCACTGGTCCTGGGCACTGCAGGTCTCCCTCCCCAGCAGTGTCCACTCTTCCCTGCCCCAAGGCAGACGTACCAACCAGATGATGTGGCTTCCAACTGGACTCCCTAAAATCCTGGTGCCTCCTGGAGGTGCCTTACAGGAAGACGGGGGCAAGGAGAGGCCCAGAGCCCAGCCCACACTGCCCAATCTGGGTGCAATTCCATCTGCGCAAAGGCTTTGTTGCTTTTCCTAAGTCCTGGGCTGCATCCTAAGTGCTCTGCAGACACACATGTCACTGTCTGGCTTTCTTGGACCCTCCACTTGGCAAAGTCCTAGCCATTGTGTTTTATTTCCCACCTTAACACACACACACACACACACACACACACACAAACAAACTTAAAAACAAAACTAAAAAAATACTATTGTCTGTACTCTGAGCTAAGGAAGAGCCGGCCAACCACAAGTTAGTGGCATTAGCCAGAAGCCGACGGGAGGAAGAGTCCAGCGCTTCCCGAAGCCCCAGATTCCCAAACTTCAGTTACCCACTCACCGCTGTCATGTTGCCTGCCACATCCTTGTACTATCTGTTGTATTTAACTTTGTTATTTAAATCAACTCAGGCCTAACAATGGCCTTTACCCTGAGGGGGAAAAAAAGTGACATTCATGGCTTTGATGAGCTGATCTATTTAGTACATGAAAATAAATTCAGAAGCATATTAAGATGAAACAGTGTTCACTCACAAATCTCCCAGTTGCCGTTGTGTTCCCCAGGCTTCACAGACAGCCTGGAAAAACTCCTCTAGGGCTTGCAGACTTAGCTGGAAACTAATCCTGAGCAGGAAGCTTGGCTTGAAGGGATAAGAGGGGACCCTCCAGGTTGGCAATCACGCCGTTTATTCGCACTTGGCAGCAAGACAATGGATGATGTGGGAGGTGCCAGGCCCCTGGGTTGGCACTAATTTGGAGTATGGTTGAGACAGGGCTGGAGAGAGGCATCTTAGAGGTGGCCCCCAAATCCGCAATCGGGAGAAAAAGGCAAGAATCGACTAGAGATTGTCAGGATAAAGGGAGGCACTGCCCACCCCTGCTATGTCTGTCTGCCCCCACAGGGGCTTCTTTAATACCTGGGGTTCCCTGGGTGATGAATGTCCTCCTACCCTGGCAAGGGGCCATACCTGTCGCCGTGGCCCCATAGGCAACCCTGATGAAAGAGTATCATTTCCAAGGGGGCTTTGGTTTCTGGGTGGCCCCACCTCGTCGTGGGGTAGATGGCACTGAAATGCTAACTGAGCGAGCCCTGGAAGTCACCAGGGGGCTCCGGAAGGTCACCCCTGACGTGGAAGGCCTGAGATCCTGAGGCCCATTTGTGTGGGGGGCACTGGTGGCTGGATGACCAGTGCTGGGGACATTCAGGTGGGTGAGGGAATGGGAAAGTCCCCGCTTCAGGGGGCGTGAAGAGTGTAACCCACCCATAGATAACTTCTGGGAGTCTGCCGCTGGCCCCGGCTCTGTCTTGGAGGGACCAGCTGGGTGAATGGCTCGCAGTGGTGCCTCCCTGGGGCGGGGCGAGTGGCTACCCCTGGGGGTAGGTGGTGGCGTCCACAAGAGAGCACGGAGCTTTGCGGCATCCCCCTTCGCCATCCGCGGGGCCCCGAAGCTGGCGCCTTCAGATCGGGAGCCAAACAGCGACTCATCACAGTAAGACGGGGTGTGGCTGATGGGTCTGGCAAATGGAAGATAAACGCCATGAGCTGGGGGATGAACAACCCCTCAAAACTTTAACAGCTCTCCCACCCACCCTGGGATGGCAGCAGCAGAGGAGGGTTGCCTGCAGATCCCAGGAGTCCTTGTCTCCCAGTCTGAAACCTACAGCGAGGCCACAGCCTCTTAAGCACCACTGCCCCCGGTCTCTGCTGATTTTCCCTGCGAAACATCCACTGCCCCTGCATCCTGACCCCATTCCCAGACATGTGCCCCAGGCCTGGACAATTTGCATATTCCATCCTCCTGGCCACATGGATTGGTTCACGAATGGCCAGATGACCCAAGCCTGTCCAATCAGAATCTGCCTTAGGACCTTGCAGAAACCACTAGGAAAGAGATGTCTTTCTGCCACCTGACTTTACTTCTTGCTAAGCTGATAGGATGTCAGCCCAAAGCAGCTTGTGGCTATCTCCTTCCTACTGAAGATTGAAGGGCATGCAGGGAAAAGCAGCACTAAGGTGGAGACAGACAGTTCCAGCCACAGTTTGAGCCCCTGTTACAGGAGCCCCACATGCCTTCTCCTGGGGAAGCCAGTTTGAATAAGTTTTCTGTCACTTGCAATTGAGAGTCACAATTAGTATAACCTTAGTCTTTATAGCCTCCACTTTTTCTTTTCTTTGTGAGACACGATCTCACTCTGTTGTTCAAGTGGAGTGTAGTGGCACAGTCACAGATCACAGCAGCCTCAAATTCCTGGGCCCAAGCAATCCTCTCACCTCAGCCTCCCTAATAGCTGGGACTACAGGCACAGTGCCACCAAGCCCAGCTAATTTTTTTGTTTTTGATTTTTAGTAGAGATCAGATTTATGTTGCTCAGGCTGGTCTTGAGTTCCTGAACTCAAGCAGCCCCCTGCCTTAACCTCTCAAAGTGTTAGGATTGCAGGAGTAAGCCACCGTGCCCATTTTCTTTTCTTTCTTTCTTTTTCTTTTTTTTTCTGAGACAGAGTCTCGCTCTGTCACCCAGGCTGGAGTGCAGTGGTGCAATCTCAGCTCACTGCAACCTCCGCCTCCTGGGTTCAAGCGATTCTCCTGCCTCAGCCTCCTGAGTAGGCGGGATTACAGGCATGTGCTACCATGCCCAGCTAATTTTTGTATTTTTAGTAGAGACGGGGGGGGTTTCACCATGTTGGCCAGGCTGGTCTTCAATTCCTGACCTCATGATCTACCCACCTCGGCCTCCCAAAGTGCTGGGATTACAGGCAAGAGTCACTGCGCCCGGCCTTTTTTTTTTTTTTTTTTAAGAGACAGGGTCTCACTCTGTCACCCAGGCTGGAGTGCAGTGACGCTCGCTGCAGCTGCGAACTCCTGAGCTCAAGTAATCCTCCCACTTCAGCCTCCAGAGTAGCTGGGACTACAGGTATGCACCACTATGCCCTGCTAATATTTTTATTTTTTGTAGAGACAGGGATCTCACTATGTTGCCCAGGCTGGTCTCAAACTCTGGAGCTCAAGCGATCCTCCCACCTCAGCCTCCCAAAGTGCTGGGACTACAGGCCTGAGTCAGCCTGTCTGGCCTTTTTTTTTTTTTTTTTTTTTATTCAACAGATATTCACGGCATACCTGCAAGATTCCACGCCCATAGTTTTTTTGGCCAGGACTGAAAGTGCTTCTATCCCCAAACTGCAAGTCTTTGAAAGGGCAAGCTTTTGCCACTTGGTTTAGCTGCTCAAACCACATTGGCTAATGCCTGTATATGTCTGGTGCCAAGGTTTTTGCTCAATAACTTCTCTACCTCTTATGCAACCCCTCACTTGACACCCTCTACCTGTTGGCATCCAGAAGAAAATTCCACCCTCCAGGTGAGCAAGGAGTTGTCACCTCCCTTTTCATGGACACCATACTTCCTAATGCAGCCTATCTTTACCTCAGTGTTTTCAGCCATGTTGTAGGTATCAGTGTTGCTAATCTCCACCTGACCCTGCCTTGTCTACAGAACTGGCAATAACTGATTCTTGTTTTTATAATAGGTATCATTCCCATTCTCATTTCATTTCTCTCATCTGAAATATGTCCCTGTGGTTCAGAATGAACCCTAACTTTAGCTGGCCAGTTCTTATGGACTGAATTGTGCCCACCCAAATTCATATGTTGAAGCCCTAACCCCAAATGTCTCTACACTTGGCCTTAATTATTTAGATTAATTAAAGGTAATTAAGGCTGGCCAGACATGGTGGCTCACATCTGTAATTCCAGCACTTTGGAAAGCAGAGGCGGGAGAACGACTTGAGCTCAGGAGTTTGAGACCAGCCTGGCCAACACAGTGAAACCCCGTCTCTACTAAAAATACAAAAATTAGCCAGGCATGGTGGCGTGCACCTGTAATGCCAGCTACTCGGGAGGCTGAGGCAGGAGAATTCCTTGAACCCGGAGGTGGAGGCTGCAGTGATCCGAGATGGTGCCACTGCACTCCAGCCTGGGCGACAGAGCCAGACTCCATCTCAAAAAAAAAAAAAAAAAAAAAAAAAAAAAAAAAAAAAAAAAGGTAACTAAGGCTAAATAACATTATAAGGGTAGGGGATCCTAATCCAATAGAACTGGTGTCCTTATGAGAGGAAGAGACATCAGGGGTGTGTGTGTATACAGAAAAGGCCCTTGCATGTAATTGAAGGATTAAAAAAAAATGAGAAAAGGCCCTATGATGACACTGTGAGAACGTGGCCAACTGCAAGCCAAGGAGAGAGGCCTCAGGAGAAACCAAACCTGCCAACACCTTGATCTTGGGCTTCCAGCCTCCAGACTGTGACAAAATAAATTTGTGTTGTGGCCAGGCGCGGTGGCTCATGCCTGTAATCCCAGCACTTCGGGAGGCCAAGGCAGGTGGATCACCTGGTCGGGAGTTCAAGATCAGCCTGACCAACATGGAGAAACCCCGTCTCTACTAAAAATACAAAATTAGCCAGGCATGGTGGCGTAATCCCAGCTACCAGGGAGGGTGAGGCAGGAGAATCGCTTGAACCTGGGAGGCAGAGGTTCAGGTTAGCTGAGATGGCTCCACTGCACTCCAGCCTGGGCAACAAGAGCAAAACTCCGTCTCAAAAAAAAAAAAAAAAAATTAAGTCAGGCATGGTGGCATGTGCCTGTAGTCCCAGCTACTCAGGAGACTGAGGCAGGAGAGTCGCTTGAACCCGGGAGGTGGAGGTTGTGGTGAGCCAAGATCGTGCCACTGCACTCCAGCCTGGGCAACAGAGCGAGACTCCATCTCAAAAAAAAAAAAAATTGTGTTGTTTAAGCCACCCAGTCTGTGGTATTTTGTCATGGTGGCCCTAGCCAACTACTGTGCTAATCTTCTGTGTCTTTGTCCAAACCACTGATAACAATAAACAGGACAGAGCCCTGTGGCTCACCACTAGACACCTCCCTCCAGGCTGATATTAATCTGAAACAGTCCAAATAATCTAATTCTAATCTAATTAATTAACAACAATAACAATTTGCATTAGTTCCTATTTTTCTAACTTGTTCATAAAAATGCAGCAAGAACCATTTTCAATTTTTTTTTTTTTTTTTTTTTGGAGACAGGGTCTCACTCTGTCACTCAGGCTGGAGTGCAGAGGCGTGATCTCAGCTCATTGCAATCTCTGCCTCCTAGGCTCAAGTGATCCTCCCACCTCAGCCTCCCGGGAGCTGGGAGTACAGGCGCACACCACCACACTTGGCTAATTTTTGCATTTTTTATAGAGACACAGTTTCACCACGCTGCCCAGGCTGGTCTCAAACTCCTGAGCTCAAGTGATCCCACCTCAACCTCCAAACGTTCTGGGATTACAGGCATGAGCTACCCCATGTGGCCAAAACCCATTTTCAAAATGACTTCAGAAACACCACATCTATGTCATTTCAAGGATCGAACACATTAATATTAATAAGCTTATGCAAATTTCTCTGTGATCTTATGCCTCAGCTGACTCCTCTGGGCCTCAGATGCCCAGTTTGTGACATTTGGGGATAGGGAGTTCACCATCACAACCATCAACACTACCATTTATTGACAGCTTTCTAAGTATTAGGTTACTGTGCGAAGCACTGCAGACCCCTCTCTCATTTAATCCATCAACAATCCCCCTAGGTAGGAATAATTGGTCCTATTTTCCACATGAGTAAACTGGCTCAGAGAGGTCAAGATGCTTGCCCAAGGTCACAGAGCAGGTGAACACCAGAGCTGTAACTGGAATCCAGGTGGCTGCACTGAGTACAGGATTTGCATCTCCCTACCCCATTACCTGTATTTGTTCTTCTTCCTTGGTGTGAGGGTGGGGGTGCTGCCCCTTGAGGGGGTGGTCTCACAGCTCCCCTTTGCCCCCAAGGCCTTCGATGCCTCCTTGCCCACGCCTCTGGTTCTGTTAGCCTTCTCCACCCAGGGCGGATCGAAGTCCGGTGGGGTAGGCCGGGTGCCTGCTGGGCTGCCAAACAGAGTCTCATCCACATATGACGTCCTGGCCTTGACCCGGTAGCCACCTCGGCAGCGGTGCTGAAGGCCGAGGGTCTGCATCCCACTGACGGCCAGCTCCACGGGGGTCTTCATGCTGCCTGTGGTCCCTGGTGACAGCAGGTGTGCTCTGCCGGCCAGGCCCTGCTTCCGAGGCTCCCTGTGAGAGGAGGTCAGAGTAGCACCCCTGAGCCACAGAAGTGCTAATGGAGGAAGACCGGTAGTGTCTGAAGTTCTCATCCCAAGGGTTTAGTTCTCTCTCAACCAGTCTCTCAAAGGGGAGCTGTCAACTTCAGGGGGCATTTTGGAAATTTCTTTGGCTTTTTTTTAGTTGTCATAATGGTGGTGAAAGGGGGGCTACTGGCAATTATTTACAGAATGACTCTGGCGGTGAAGGAGAGATGACACCTGTGTCTATTTAGGCACCAACCAGAAAACACACTATGGTGGTAGGGGAGACAGGCACTTTCCTATGTGTACTGATGGGGGTGGGGGCAATGACAGCCAGCGTGGATCCCATGCCTACCTCCTGCAAAGAGCTTTACAAGCATTGTTTCATTTAATCCTCTCAACAGCACTGTGAAGTAGCTTCGAATTTGTCCATTTTACGGATCACAAAACTGAGGTGAAGTCACATGTGTAGGTCACACCTATAAAGCTAAAACGGTGGAAGTGAAATCTGAGTCCAGAGCTTGTGTACTTGGCTACACTGCTATCGGGAGATCACCGCCGCCCCCACCGCCCCACATTCTGCGACTCCCAAATCAATGACCCGATTAAAAAGTGCCCGAGGTCCCTGCATTTTTGGGTTGTTCTCCTACCTGAGCATCTTGGCTCGTAGGCATCGGGATCCTCAGGGACCCGTCCCCGCACCTTCTTCCCACCAGGTCTGGACCCGTCGGTGAGGGCGCGGGGGCGCGCGGTGCATCCGGGATCCCCGTCAATCTGCAGCCCGGAATGCCTGGGGCCCCGGACCCCCGGCAGCCTAGGCCGTCCCGGGGCACCGCGCGCGGACGGACTCACCCGAGGAGCCGGCACAGGCTACGTGTGAACGGCCCGCGAATCCAGAAACCCAGAACCCAGCACTTTGCACCCAGCAACCAGGGAGCAGCCAGCAGCACTGCGGACGCGGCCCGGACCATTCGCGCCCGCGGATGGGGGGAGTCCGCCCAGGGGCGGGCGCCACGCTCCTGAGGCCCAGGAGGTCCCTAAACATGGAGAGGGTCCTCTGGTGCCACTCACTCAGGTGCGTGTGTACTAGGCCGCCGAGGGCCGCAGGCACTGGCGAAAGCTCAGCGGAGGTCACGTGGTCACCGCACCTCCCCCCCCCCCACGCAGTTGGTGCGCTCCTCAGGCCACGCCCCCTTCTGCGTTCCCAGCGCGCGGCCCGAATGGCGGCCGACAAGGGCCCGGCGGCTGGACCTCGGTCGCGAGCTGCCATGGCCCAGTGGAGGAAGAAGAAAGGGCTCCGGAAGCGCCGAGGCGCGGCCTCCCAGGCCCGCGGCAGCGACTCGGAGGACGGCGAGTTTGAGATCCAGGCGGAAGATGACGCCCGGGCCCGGAAGGTAGGCGCGTGGGGCTGGGACGCATGTTCGGGCCCGAGACCCGGCTCCGGGCAGCGCCTCGAGGCCTCAGTTTCCCCAGCTGGGGATTGGGCTCCGCAGAGTGTGGGGAGGGAGGCTGCCGACCCGAGGACCGGTCTTGGGACCGCCGGCCTGAGCACGTGTCTCGGGGCTTGTCAGGCTCAGGGTTCCGCGGCCAGAGCCTTGGGATCCCGGGGCTGGAGCCTGCGGGCCTTCCTGCCGGGTTTTGGTCGCGCGTCTCTCATTGGCTGCCTCCTGCTCGTGGGGCGGATCCTGGCTCCCTTTCGCCCAATGAAAAGTGCGGGTGCAGAAGATCTGACTTTGAGAGTTTGGAGCGTTCTTGGGAGGTTGAATTAAGGGGAGGCCAGACTGCGTGGCTTGAGACAGTGTGACGCCTCCAAACCTCTGGGAAACGAATTAAAACAATTTTTTTTGAGACAGAGTCTTGCTCTGTTGCTCATGCCGGAGTGCAGTTGTGTAGCCACGCCTTGCTACAGCCTCCGCCTCCTGGGCTCAAGCGATCCTCCCACGTCAGCCTCTCCGGTAGCTGAGACCACAGACATGCGCCACCACGCCCGGATAATTTTTAAATTTTTTGTAGAGACGGGGGTCTCCCTATGTTGCCCAGGATGGTCTCGAACTTCTGGCCTCAAGCAGTCCTCCCACTTCTGCTTCCCAAAGTGTTGGGATTAACAGGCGTGAGCCCGGCCAGTTTGTGTTTGTTGACCGTTTACTATGTGCCAGGCTCCATGCTAAGAGCTGTACGAGCCTTATTATTTAATCCTCACACCAACGTTGTGCTAACACCACCAGCAACTGTCATCTTCATTTTTCTACAGGAGGAAACTGAGGCCTAGAGGGTTAAGAAATAGTCAAAGGCCTGGTGTAGTGGCTACACGCCTGTAAACCCAGCACTTAGGGAGGCTGAGGTGGGAGGATTGCTTGAGGTCAGGAGTTCAAGATCAGCCTGGGCAACATAGGCAGACCCCGTCTCTACAAAAAATTAAAAAATTAGGATGGCCGCGGTGGCTCACGCCTGTAATCCCAGCACTTTAGGAGGCTGAGGCAGGCGGATCACCTGAGGTCGGGAGTTCAAGACCAGCCTGGCCAACATGGTGAAACCCTGTCTCTACTAAAAATACAAAAATAGCCAGGTGTGGTGGCATGTGCCTGTAATCCCAGCTACTCGGGAGGCTGAGGCAGGAGAATCGCTTGAAACTGGGAGTCAGAGGTTGCAGTGAGCCGATATTGCACCACTGCACTCCAGCCTGGGTGACAGAGCAAGACTCTGTCTCAAAAAATAAAAATTAGCCTGGCTTGGTGGCGCCCACCTGTGGTCCCACCTCCTGGAGAGGCAATGTGGGAGGATCACTTAAACCTGGGCGGCGGAGAGTACAGTGAGCTGTGGCTACACAACTGCACTCCATCATAAGCAACAGAGCAAGACTCTGTCTCCAAAAAAAGAAAAAAAAAAAAAAGGGAGATCCCATCTTTACAAAAAAAGAGAGAAAGCAGCTTGACCAAGACCTCACAGCTTGTGAGTACAAGAGCCAGGAGATTCAAACTTGAGACTGTCTGATTCCAAGGCCTGTGCCGTTTCCATTACTGAATGTCATGTGTATGCACATGAAGGGATGGGTGTGAGCACCAATGGGGCAGAAGGGCTGCGCCCATTATTTCCCACAGTCCTGTTCCCAGCGGGTGCCTGGCACCAGGTAGGCTCAGGGCAAGATGAGTAAGTGGACATTTATATGAAGAGAAAGGATCACACTCCAAGGCAGGAACTAGAAGAGACCTCATCCCACTGTCCCTCTCTCATCTTCCAGCCTAGCCAGTACCTGGCACACAGTAGGTGCTCAACAAATGTAGAGAAACTACTAAAGGTAATGAACAGCACAGGCGGGCAGAGGTGGTTATTACCAAAGAAGAGGAGTCTAAGTGTAGTTCAGACCAAGGGCTTCTCACGGCACTGCCCTGTGTTCAAATTTGGCCCAACCTTGCACTGGCTGTGGGACATTGGAGAGGTTGCTTAACCTCTCTGTGCCCGTTTCCACATCCGTAGAAGGCAAGTAAATGATTATATATGTTTCAAAGGTTGTTGGCCCGGTGCCGTGGCTCATGCCCGTAATCCCAGCACTTTGGGAGTCCGAGGAGTGAGGATCACTTGATGCCAGGAGTTCGAGACCAGCCTGGGCAACATGCATGGCGAGACTGCATCTACAAAAAATACAAAAATTAGCCAGGCATGGTGGTGTGTGCCTGTAGTCCCAGCTACTTGGGAGGCTGAGGTGGGAGGATCACCTGAGCTAGGTGAGCCGTGATTGCCCCACTGCACTCCAGCCTGGGAGACTGAGTGAAACTCTGTCTCAAAAAAAAAAAAAAAGTGTTGAAAAGACCAAAGGAGGCTGGGCGTGGTGGCTCATGCCTGTAATCCGAGCACTTTGGGAGGCCAAGGTGAGCGGATCACTTGAGGTCGGGAGTTTGAGACCGGCCTGGCCAACATGGTGAAACCCCATCTCTACTGAAAATACAAAAATTAGCCGGGCTGGTGGCATGTGCCTGTAGTCCCAGCTAGTTGGGAGGCTGAGGCAGGAGAATTGCTTGGACCCAGGAGGTGGAGGCTGCAGTGAGCCAAGATCCTGCCACTGCACTCCAGCCTGGGTGACTGAACGAGACTGTCTCAAAAAAAAAAAAAGAAGAAGACTGAAGGACATGCTGTTCATACATTCAGTAGCTATTGCAGGCGCCTGTGTGTCCCAGGCACCTTGTTTTCATGTACCTAGAGCAGGGGTTGGCAGACCTATCAAGGGCCAGATGGTAAATCTTTTTTTTAGGTTTTGTTGGGCCATATAAGATCACTGTCTTTTTTGTTGGATTTCTTTTTCTTTTCTACAACCCTTTAAAAAGTAAAAACCGTTCTAAACTCACAGACTGTTCAAGACAGGCCATGGCTCTGCCCTAGAGGATTGTAGTTAATCTTAGAGGGTCACAGTGAAAAGAACACAGTCTCTGAAGCCAGGGTTCACATCCCTCACCCACTACCTGCTGGCTGTGTGACCTTGGGCACGTCACTGTATCTCTGTGCCTCAGTTTTCTTCTCTGTAAAATGGACAGAACAATAGTACCCACTTCATCAGATTGTTGTGAGGATTAAGTGGGTTAATTTGTATAATTCTCAGAGCAGCACCTAGCTTATAGTAGATACCTTGTAAGTTTCAGCCACTCTTATGAATTGCTGCTCCGTAAATGCTTTTTTTTTTTTCTTTTTTGGTAAAGATGGGGTTTTACCATGTTGCCCAGGCTAGTCTGGGAACTCCTGGGCTCAAATGATCCACCCACCTCAGCCTCCCAGTGCTGGGATTACAGGCGTGAGCCACCACGCCTGGCCATGAATGCTATTTTTAAGAGAAAGGGGACAGCCCTGTAGTCCAAGAAGGTTCCCCAGAGGAGGTGTCTGGATTGGATTTAGCTGTGCCAGGACAAGTGGGTCCTGGGTGAGCAGAAAGGAGGCCAGGCATGAGACAGACCAGAGATCAGAAAGGAGATTGGTTGGCGGCTGATGGGGCGGGGGTAGGGGGCGGGAGATCTTGGAAAAGTCTAGTACTTCACATATAGTAGGCATTTCGATTGGCTCTTTAATGTATTTAGGGGCTGGGTGTGGTGGTTCATGCCTGTAATCCCAACACTTTGGGAGGCCAAGAAGGGAGGAATACTTGAGGCCAGGAATTCAAGACTAGCCTGGGCAATGCAGTAAGACCTCATCTCTACAAAAAAAAAAAAATAAATACAAAATAAAAAAATTAGCCAGATGTGGTAGTATACGCCTGTAGTCCCAGCTACTCAGAAGTCTAAGGTGGGAGACTCACTTGAGCCTAGGAGTTCAAGGCTGCAGTGAGCCATGCCTGCACTGCTGTACTCCAGCCTGGGTGACAGAGTAAGACCCTGTCTCTTAAAAAAAAAAAAAAAATGTACTTACTTTTGGGATTGAGATTCAAACCGAGACAGTCTATCTGCAGACCCCACTCTAAACTTCTGTCCTGGCCCAGCCAAAGGAGAACTTACTAGCAAAAAAGTGACGTGATCTGGCGGAAGCATCATTGGCTTGAATGGGGGAGAGAGGGCAACAGCACAGGCCCCTTCCCTGCCCCCTGTGGTCCCACTGTGCCTGGAGTGACACCACCTCTCTGTCCTTCCCTCCCAGCTGGGACCTGGAAGACCCCTGCCCACCTTCCCCACCTCGGAATGCACCTCGGATGTGGAGCCGGACACCCGGGAGATGGTGCGTGCCCAGAACAAGAAGAAGAAGAAGTCTGGAGGCTTCCAGTCCATGGGTGGGTGCAACTTGGCATCAGGGACTCTGCGGGAGTGGCAGCTGGAGGTCAACCCCGCCTCTGCACTCCATCACTGATGTCCACTCTGGGCCCAGCACTGTGGTTGGGTAGACCGGGGTAGCAGATGTGGTCCTCCAGTCATTCAGGGCCTTCTAGTGGGGCAGCGGGCCTGACACAGGAGAGGGCAGTTAGAACAGGCCTCAGGAAAGGCAATGCAGATGCAGGAACAGGCAAAGACAGTCGGGGACTTATTGCCTGCAGAGGGACATTTCAGAAGGAGGGAAAGGATGGAATGGGTGGGTGGTGTGGGGACACCTGGCTGGCCAGAAATAAAGCCTGACTCTGTTACTCTTTACAAATCAGTAGCAGCTGGAGCAAGGATTTAAATATCAAGATGAGTGCTGGGTGCGATGACTCATGCCTGTAATCTTAGCGTTTGGGGAGGCAGAGGTAGGATCACTTGAGGCCAGGAGTTCAAGTCCAGCTTGGGCAACAAAGTGAGCTCCCATCCATGCCCTCACCACCAAGAGGGACAAGAGTCCCTCCCCACACCCGGGTGATTCTGAAGTTCATTCCAGACATCCTCATTGTGTCCACACACACTTCCAAGAGGCGCAGGACCTTACCACGCCTAAAACGAAGGCACAGCTTCTTAGTGTCACCTAAGACCCCGTTAGTGTTCAGAGATCCCTGCTGTCTCATGACATCAAGAGTGGGTTCACATCAGAAAATCAGATAAGGTTCAGGTGCCCCAGTCAGATCTGTCTCCTAAGTCTCATTTCACCTTTCAGTTTGTGCTTTATTGCTTTTTTTTTTCCCTTGCTGTTTATTGTTGATGAAGCTGTCATTTGTCCTGTAAAGTTCTCTGGGGTTGGTGCTGTGGGGACTCCCTCGGCCCCCTGACCGTTTCATGTCTCTCCCAGGCCTGAGCTACCCGGTGTTCAAAGGCATCATGAAGAAGGGGTACAAGGTGCCAACACCCATCCAGAGGAAGGTGAGGGGTGGGGCGGTCGACGGGTGAGGGCGAGGGAGGAGTGACATGGCCCTCCTCTCTGGCCCCTTGACAGCCACCCCTTGTCCCACCTGTCACATCTCCTGCCCCCTTTACTCTGCTGAAGCCCCAGCTAGCGTGCCCACTTCCTAGGTGGAGAAGGTTGGGCCGAGCCGAGCAGAGACTCTGGGCCTTTCTGCCAGTTGAGCCTCCTGGAGGCTGCCCACAGCTGAACCTCAGCTCAGGCAGCTCCCAGCCACCTATATTATCACCCAGGGCTTGTGATTATTCTTCTTAGACATTTCGCCCAGTGGGAGCCATTTCTCTGGGGTTCTGAGGAGGAGGACTAGACGGGAGGTAGAGTCTGGCTCCTCCGAAGAAGGGTGTTCCAGCAATGGAAAGAGTTGGGGTAGTGAGCCGCTCATCCTTGGAGGCATGCTAACAGGCTTTTGAAAGAATGGGCAAGAATAGGCTCAGGGCTGGGTGACGGGTGCCTGCCCATTCACTGAGATCTATAGCATGCCCACTCCTCAGGGCCTTGAAGCTCTGGATCACATGGTGTTTGGGGAGGAGCTGACCTTGACTTCCCTGCTTGTGCCTCTCCAGACCATCCCGGTGATCTTGGATGGCAA
Source organism: Homo sapiens (assembly GCF_000001405.40). NCBI lineage: Eukaryota > Metazoa > Chordata > Mammalia > Primates > Hominidae > Homo > Homo sapiens. The sequence continues at coordinate 113,179,305 of NC_000012.12, read as the reverse complement.
GGACGTGGTGGCCATGGCCCGGACGGGCAGTGGCAAGACAGCCTGCTTCCTCCTCCCAATGTTCGAGCGGCTCAAGACCCACAGTGCCCAGACCGGGGCCCGCGCCCTCATCCTCTCGCCGACCCGAGAGCTGGCCCTGCAGACCCTGAAGTTCACTAAGGAGGTGTGTCTGAGCTTGGCTAGAGGCTGGAGGCAAGGGCTGACTTGGGACCGGACACAGAGGCCACGAGTGTGCTGTCATCTCACCCCTGCCCTCTCTCAATCACTTTCTCTTCTCAGCTAGGCAAGTTCACTGGCCTCAAGACTGCCCTGATCCTGGGTGGAGACAGGTAAGGTCCCTGCACCCCATGCCAGGGTCACCACCATGCAGGCACATCTCTGTGTCTCCAGGACATTAGTTCGATTTAAGCTGTGTTGCTTATTAATAATAGCAGCTTCTGTGCTCATTCAAAAAACCCAACAAGGCCGGGCCCAGTGGCTCATGCCTGTAATCCCAGCACTCTGGGAGGCCGAGGTGGGCAGATCCCCTGAGGTCAGGAGTTTGAGACCAGCCTGACCAACATAGCAGAACCCTGTCTCTACTAAAAATACAAAAATTAGCTGGGCATGGTGTCGCATACCTGTAATCCCAGCTACAATGGAGGCTGAGAAAAGAGAATCACTTGAACCCAGGAGGTGGAGGTTGCAGTGAGCCGAGATGGCATTACTGCACTCCAACATGGGCGACAGCGCGAGACTCCAATCTCAAAAAAAAAAAAAAGAAAAAACAAAACAAAAACCCAAGAAGGCTGGTCCAGTGGTAGCAGGTTATCAGAACTTACCAACATTAGTATCATTAAAGTTGGTATACAACCCCCCTCACTGCTAAATTTGACTGGCTTAAGAAAAAAACCAACAAGGGAAATCATGTGATAAAACATTAAAATAAATTGCCCACAGAGGCACTGCCACTCAGAAGTTCTGATGCTCCTGAAATAGAGTCATCAGCTCACAGGACAGACAGGTGTATCTATTTTAAAATGCATAATCGTGGGCTTGTTTTTGTTTTTGTTTTTTGTTTGTTTATTTTGAGACAGGGTCTCGCTCTGTCACCCTGGCTGGAGTACAGTGGCGCAATCACAGCTAACAGCAGCCTCAACCTCCTGGGCTCAAGTGATCCTCCCACGTCAGCCTCCCCAGTAGCTGGCACTACAGGTGTGCACCACCATGCCCAGCCAATTTTTTGTATTTTTTGTAGAGATGAGGTCTCGCCATGTTACTCAGGCTGGTCTCAAACTCCTGGGCTCAAGTGATCTGCTACTTTGGCCTCCCAAAGTGTTGGGATTACAGGCGTAAGCCACCACGCCTGGCTGTGGGCTGTTAGAAAGCAGAAAGCACAGGAATCGAGGGATGTTTGTAATAGCTCAGATTCATAAGATGTAGTATCTCCTGCTGTTCATCTACCACCCTTCCTAGGTAGTAGGTGCCACGTCTGTTTTACAGATGGGCAAAGTGAGGAAGTGACAGGTTAGAGTTTGGCAATGATTCCATAGTAGAGCTGGGATCAGAATCCAGTCTCCTGCCTCATTCCATGCCTTATCTCACAGTTTATCCCTTAAAGGGCAGCCCCTTTAAGGGAGAAAGTTTAAGGATGCCGCTATTAACACTCTTGATTCTCGGAGAGTTTGCTTTTCAGTGCCTTTGTCTCCATTGTCATTTATTCTTTCTGAAGTTTGTGATTGTCAGAAAGGCCTCCCTGGGCTAGTCCTGGCCCAGGACTACCCTGGCTCCTACAGGTATCCCAAGGGTGCTGCAGAGGAGGGCTAAAATTAGGGATTTGTGCCCAAAGGGTTTAAGGACGGGAGCTGATAGAGATCCATGGAACCTGGGTTCTAGTTGGGGCTGGTAGTTCTGGGGTTAGTTGCTGGGGGCACTGTGGGTGGAAGGCAGCTTTGTTGCTATCTGGAACAACAGAAGGAGTGAATTGAGGTCTGTAGTTGAGCCCATCTCTTCAGAGGAACTCTGTTGTTACCATTCTTTTGCATATTTCAGCTTGTATCTCTTGTCAGGGCAATGCCTTTGCCTCATACCTCAGCACTGGCCTTTCCTCAGTTCCAAGCCTTGGGTCTGTGTTCCTGGGGATGGGGTGTGCAGCCTTGCCTGGACATTTGGTTATGGGAAGGGAAACCAAAGAGACCTGTTCTATCAAGCTAACCCCTTCTCTCCTCTCTAGGATGGAAGACCAGTTTGCAGCCCTGCACGAAAATCCCGACATGTGAGTTTGTGGATTGGGGATGACTCCCTGAGATCCCTTCCTAGTGGTGGGGGTGTAAGAGAACTGTGGTGGTGGCCCTGGCCCTGGGGTCACCTGGCCTGTGCACCCTCTTCCAGAATTATTGCCACGCCCGGACGGTTGGTGCATGTGGCTGTGGAAATGAGCCTGAAGCTGCAGAGTGTGGAATACGTGGTGTTCGATGAAGCTGACCGGTAAGGCTGCAGGTCCAGCCCTGAGCACTTGTGTCTGAACTGGGAAAGCAGAGGCAGAGAGGTCAACCAGAGGAAGGCTCTGCCAGGAGAGCCCTGTGTGGCTGAGATCGAAGCAGTGTCTTCCCAGATGTGGGCTGCAGACCTCCTCATAAGCGGTGCTGGAGCTCATCTCTGGGGCTCTCTGACCAATATTTATAATTTTGCATTTCAGGAGTATTGAAATGAATAATAGGACATCTAACATGGGATTTATTTATTTATTTATTTATTTATGAGATAGAGTCTTGCTCTGTCACCCAGGCTGGAGTGCAATGGTATGATCTTGGCTCATTTCAACCTCCGCCTTCCGGGTTCTAGTGATTCTCCTGCCTTAGCCTCCTGTGTAGCTGGGGTTACAAGTACGCGCTACCACGCCTGGCTAATTTTGTATTTTTAGTAGAGATGGGATTTCACCATATTGGCCAGGCTGGTCTTAAACTCCTGACCTCAGGTGATCCACCCGCCTCGGCCTCCCAAAGTGCTGGGATTACAGGCGGGAGCCACAGCACCCGGCCCCTAACATGGGATTTCAAAGAGATTTTTTTAAAAGCACAAAGTTGAGAGCATGGACTCAGGAGCCAGACAGGAGTGGGATCAAGTCCTAGCTCTGCGACTTCAGCTCTGTGAATTTGGGCAATCACTGGACATCTCTGGGCCTTGGCTGCTTCAACTGCAAAATGGGGATAAAGTAGCACGTACCTCACAGGGGTGTTGTGAGGACCAGAAGACTTGATACTTGTAAAGTACTTGGAACCCTCCCTGGCAGAGTTGGGGAGGGGGTTGTGGGGGAAGTGGGGAGGGGGATGTGGGGGAAGTGGGGAGGGACTGCTATCATTGATTGATTGATGGTGACAGGGTCTTGCTCTGTCACCCAGTTTGGAGTACAGTGGTGTGATGATGGCTCACTGCAGCCTCGACCTCCCAGGCTCAAGGGATCCTCCCATGTCAGCCTCCTGAGTAGCTGGGAATATAGGCATGCGCCACCATGCCCAGCTAATTTTTTTTTTTTTTTGAGACGGAGTCTCACTCTGTTGCCCAGGCTGGAGTTCAGTGGCATGATGTCGGCTCACTGCAAGCTCCGCCTCCTGGGTTCACGCCATTCTCTTGCCTCAGCCTCTCGAGTAGCTGGGACTACAGGCGCCCGCCACCACGCCCGGCTAATTTTTTTGTATTTTTAATAGAGACGGGGTTTCACTGTGTTAGCCAGGATGGTCTCGATCTCCTGACCTCATGATCCGCCCGCCTTGGCCTCCCAAAGTGCTTGGGATTACAGGCCTGAGCCACTGCGCCCGGCCCCAGCTAATTTTTTATTTTTGTAGAGATGGGATCTCGCCTAGGGTGTTCTTGAACTCCTCCTGCCTTGGCCTCTCAAAGTGCTGGGATTACAGGTGTGAGCCTCTGCAGCCAGCCTGGGCTGCTGTCATTTATTTCAGCATGAGTTTGTAAGAACATGACCAAGACAGATTCCAGATTTCAAGGTTATTGTTGTTTAGGATGAAGTCACGTGATAAGTGTGAGTGGGCTGAGTTAGAGTGAGGCAAGCCCTGGGACACTGCAGAAGTTGTGGGGACAAGGATGGCTGCGGTTGGAACTCCAGGGAGTGAAGGCCCCCTCTGACCCAGTCCTGCCCTCTACCCTTCCAGGCTTTTTGAAATGGGTTTCGCAGAGCAGCTGCAGGAGATCATCGCCCGCCTCCCCGGGGGCCACCAGACGGTGCTGTTCTCCGCCACGCTGCCCAAACTGCTGGTGGAATTTGCCCGGGCTGGTGCGTGAGCTGGGGGTGGAGATGGGGGCTGGGGGTCAGGCTGGGGCCTGGGGGCCAGTCCCTCTGCGACTCCCCCACTTTCCCCCATGTCTCCTGCAGGCCTCACGGAGCCCGTGCTCATCCGGCTTGACGTGGATACCAAGCTCAACGAGCAGCTGAAGGTGAGGCTGCACCTGTCCCATCCCAGGAGGTTGTGTCCAGGTGGGCCCTGCAGGCCCTGGGCCAGGACCCCGTAAGCCAACACGTGATGCCCTCTCCCCACAGACCTCCTTCTTCCTCGTGCGGGAGGACACCAAGGCTGCCGTGCTGCTCCACCTGCTGCACAACGTGGTGCGGCCCCAGGACCAGACCGTGGTGTTTGTGGCCACGAAGCACCACGCCGAGTACCTCACTGAGGTGAGCAGGGTCCTGAGTGGGAGGAGCACCTCCTTCAGCTGGAGTTTGGAGCTGCAGTTCCCTGTGCAGTCACTAGAGGGCAGCACGAGAGCGGACCAGGAGCCTGGGCCTGGGCTCAAGATGGTCATTTTTATTTTTATTTTTTATTTTTTTGAGACGGAGCCTCGCTCTGCCATCCAGGCTAGAGTGCAGTGGCACAATCGTGGCTCACTGCAGCCTTGACCTTCCAGGCTCAAACAATTCTCCCGCCTCAGCCTCCCGAGTACTTGGGACTTCTGGCGCATGTCACCATGCCCAACTAACTTGTTACTTATTTTTATATTTTGTAAAGACAGGTTCTCACTCGGTTGCCCAAGCTGGTCTTGAACTCCTGGGCTCAGGTGATCCTCCCACCTTGGCCTCCCATAGTACTGGGATTATAGTACTGGGATTATGAAAACATTTCTTTTTTTTTTTTTTTGGAAATGGTATCTCACTCTGTCGCCCAGGCTGGAGTGCAGTGGCACGATCTCAGCTCACTGCAACCTCCACCTCCCAGGTTCAAGTGATTCTCCTGCCTCATCCTCCTGAGTAGCTGAGACTTCAGGCGCCACCATGCCTGTCTAATTTTTGTATTTCTCATGGAGACGGGGTTTTGCCGTGTTGGCCAGGTGGGTCTTGAACTCCTGACCTCAAATGATCTGCCCGTCTCAGCCTCCTAAAGTGCTGGGATTACAGGTGTAAGCCACAGCGCCTGGCCTAAACTTTTTATTGTGAGAAAATTTCAAACCAATTCTAAGATCAGAAAATAATATGATGAACCCCGGGTACTCGTTATCTAGGTACAACTGTTACCAGCTGATAGCTGGTCTTGACCTTCATCCGTTAGTTCCCCTTACATCCGGGTTATTTTGAAGCCTGTCCCTGCCATCCTGTTATTTTCCTGTAGATTTTTAGTATGTGGTTTGTTTGACTTCTTAAGATTGAGGCATGACCTGCATGTAGCAAGCTGTGTGAAGCGCTGTTAGCATGTGTGAGTGGCTCAAAGATTTTTTTCATATGTGTTATGCCTGTGTGACCCCCGCCTGGGTCAAAGCCTGGGGAGTCGCTGTGCCCCAGAAGGCAGTGGGGCCCCTTTCCGTTGGTGCCTGCCTCCCTGTCAGCTACACCTGGGTCTGTTATCTGAGGACATGGTTCACTGGGTTTCACTTACTCCACACACAGTTAACAACACTCCCTCTGTGCAGCTGCTGGGGTCACCAGTGAATAAGACCAAAATAGTAATTTTTAAACAGTTGTTTTTTTAGAGAGAGTTTTGCTCCTTTGGCCAGGCTGGAGTGCAATGGCATGATCATGGCTTACTGCAACCTCTGCCTCCTGGGCTCAAGTGATCCACCCACCTCAGCCTCCGAAGTACCTGGGACTGTAGGCACAAGTCATGCCTGACCATGCCAGCTCATTTTTTATTTATTTTAATTTTTTTTGTAGAGATGGTGTCTTGCTGTGTTACCCAGGCTAGTCTCGAGTTTCTGGTCTCAAGTGATTTTCCAGCCTTGGTTTCCCGAAATGCTGGATTACAGGCGTGAGCCACCATGCCCAGTTTAAATAGTAATCTGTAAAGAACAGCTAGCACTCTCATGAGTGTTCCATGTTGAGACTCTGTTCTCAGCACTGTATATACTGACTCATGTGATCCTCATAATAAGGCACAAAGAAGGGGCAGTTATTCGTACAGATGAGGAAAATGAGGCATAGAAAAGTTTGGTAACTTGCCCAAGGTCACACAGCTTGTTTGTAGCAGAATCCGGATAAGGCTTGTGCACTGAGGTGGCATTTGCAGCTTCCCTGAGAGGGCCCTCTGCACACATCATCTCTGATCCTCAGACAACCCTGCAGAGAGGTGGGAGGTGTTGTAAGCTCCATTCCTCCCCAAACTGGCATCACCCAGCAAGCTGGGATTCAGACCAAGGGTGCCAGACTCCAGAACCCGTGGTCTTGTCTCTGCACCTCAGTGCCCGTCCCCCGCCATGGTCTGGCTTCCTTTCCTTTCTCCTCCAAGTCTCCTTCTCACTTTGCTACCATCTTTGCTCTGAGCAGCTGCTGACGACCCAGCGGGTGAGCTGCGCCCACATCTACAGTGCCCTAGACCCGACAGCCCGCAAGATCAATCTCGCCAAATTCACGCTTGGCAAGTGCTCCACTCTCATTGTGACTGACCTGGCCGCCCGAGGCCTGGACATCCCGCTGCTGGACAATGTCATCAACTACAGCTTCCCCGCCAAGGGCAAACTCTTCCTGCACCGCGTGGGTAAGCAGCCCGTGGCTGGCCCTGGGGCAGGCAGGGGTGCCGGATCCTGGCAGAAGCCGAGGGTACAAGGCTTAACTCTTGACACTGCACATGGGGTGGCTGTGGGCCTTGTTTTAGAGACAGAGCCTCGCTATATTGCTTAAGCTGGTCTCAAACTCGCGATCGTGCCACTGCGATCCAGCCTGGGTGACGGAGCAAGATCTTGTCTCAAAAAAACCAAAAAAAAAAAACAACCCAATTATTCAGCTTATGGTTTTTTTGACTTTACAATAGCACCCATACAGCTGTTCTATTTTTTTCTTTCAGTACAGTATTCAATAAGTTACATGAGATACTCAACACTTTATTTTAAAATCGGCTATGTGTGGGATGATTTTGCCCAAGGGTAGGCTAATGGAAGTATTTGGAGCATGCTCAAGGCAGGCTGGCTGAGCTGCGATGTTTAGTGGGTTAGGTGCCGTGCGTGTGTTTTTGACGGCTATTGGGTTTATTGAGACGCAGCCCTTCGTAAGTCACGGAACAGCTGTGGTCTCATTTCAGAGATCACTGTCCCCCATTGCTCTCTGATGACATGGCCGTCATTTTGGTGTGTGTCCATTCTTCTGATGTTTCTATTTTAAGTTGTGGTAAAGTAGACATAGCATGCAATTCAGCATTTTGCCATTTCCCAGTGTGCAGTGGAGTGGCATTGAGTCTGTTCCCATTGTGCAACTGTCACCACCATCTGTCCCCAAAACTTTTTTTTTTTTTTTTGAGAGTCTTGCTTTGTACCCCAGGCTGGAGTGCAGGGGTGTGATCTCGGCTCACTGCAACCTTCACCTCCCAGGTTCTAGCTATTCTCTTGCATCAGCCTCCCGAGTAGCTGGGATTACAGGTGCTCGCCACCAGGCCCAGCTAATTTTTTGTGTTTTTAGTAGAGACAGGGGTTTCACCATGTTGGCCAAGGTGGTCTTGAACTCCTAACCTCAAGTGATGCATCTGCCTCAGCCTCCCAAAGTGCTGTGATTACAGGCGTGAGCCACCATGCTTGGCCCCAGAACTTTTCCATCTTGCAAAATTGAAGCTCTATCCGTCAGACAAAATCTCCTTATTCCCCTCCCGCAGCCCCTGGTAACTGTTATTCTACTTTCTTTGCCTTCTTTTAATTCATAAGTGTCATGTGGTGGGTGCACTTCCCCCTTGTTGCTGTCTGCTGTCCCCTAGTTTCTGTTGCTGTGTGGAGAGCTGGTTCTGCATGTCCCTAGGGAGGTCCCCAGGACGCCCCCAAAGGGAATTTCTTGTGCCTCACAAGACCAACAGTGCCGGTCAGACAACCTCAAATGAAATCTCCAAATGTCATAACACCTTGTTTTCCCAAGATACAGAGACAAACCAAAATATAATGCTATGTAGTGATTTAGGTACTTCATGCAAAATTGCAATCATATTGGGTGTTCTTTTTTATAACTGGCTTTTTGTTTTTTTCTTTTTACATCACCATACATCACGAATGTTTTTCGTTTACTATGAAATGTCATTCTGTGATGGGTTGGCACATCTTTTCTGTAAGGGGCTAGACATGAAACGTTAGGCTTTGTGGACCATACTGTCTCTGTCATAACTGTTCATCTCTGCTGCTGTCGTGTGACTGCTGCCTATTCATTTATATAGATAATATATAAACAAATGAGTGTGGCTGTGTTCCAATAAATCTTTATTTACACAGACAAGCAGGGGGCCGGGATCTCACTCTGTTGCTTGGGCTCTAGTGCTGTGGCATGATCATAGCTCACTGTAAGCTTGAACTCCCAGATTCAAGCAATCCTCCCAGCTCAGCCTCCCAAGTACTTAGGGCTACAGGCACACACCATCACATCTGGCTAATTTTCGTTTTTTGTAGACATGGGGTCTTGCTATTTTGCCCAGGCTGTTCTCGAACTCCTGGCCTCAAGTGATTCTCCCACCTCAGCCCCTCAAAGTGCTGTGATTACAGGCGTGAGCCACCAGCCTGGCCCTGTAGGCTGCAGTTTGCCCACTCTTTTCCTGAGCTGTTTAATTCCCACTGTGTGGCCATCAGCTAATTCACTTATCTAGTCCTCTACCCTTGAGACTTTAGTTTCCAACTTGGGGCTGTCCTAGTCAGGGCCACACTAAACCTCCTTGTGTGTGAATCTTTACATCTTTGCGGGGAATTCTCAAAAGTGGGGACACTGAAGAGTTTTGATCATGCTCATGAGCAGGGCCTTGCTGTATTTTTGCTAGTCTCCCAGAGCACTGTGTCAGCTTGGGCACACTCTCACAGATCAACCTAGGGACCGGGATTAAACTTCCCTGTGCGTAGGTGGGGACAGCAGCCGTGTGAGGTTCGAGGCTTGGCCAGGCTCACCTGCTCAGGGTCTGGCCTGTGGAACTCATGCTGGGTCCGGGTCCTTCTTTGCTTAATTAAGCTTGAACGTCTCCTTGCTGCAGGCCGTGTGGCTCGGGCTGGCCGAAGTGGCACAGCCTACTCCTTGGTGGCCCCTGATGAAATCCCCTACCTGCTGGATCTGCACCTGTTCCTGGGCCGCTCCCTCACCCTCGCCCGACCCCTCAAGGAGCCCTCAGGTGAGTGGAGGCTGGGTGGGGATAGGGGTCCCCGTGGAGTTCATGGGCCCTGTTTTGGCTGTGGGAGGAGGTAGGGCTGGGTTTGACCCCAGCAGAAGATGATTCCTTTTATTTATTTTATTGTATTTTATTTGTTTTGTTTATTTTTTGAGACAGAGCCTCGCTCTGTTGCCCAGGCTGGGGTGCAGTGGTGTGATCTTGGCTCACAGCAACCTCTGCCTCCCAGGTTCAAGCCATTCTCTTGCCTCAGCCTCCCGAGTAGCTGGGACTATAGATGCCCGCCACCACGCCTGGCAAATTTTTTATTGTATTTTTAGTAGAGACAAGGTTTCACCATGTTGGCCAGGCTGATCTCGAACTCCTGACCTCAAGTGATTCGCCCACCTCCCAAAGTGCTGGGATTACAGGTGTGAGTCACTGCGCCCGGCTGATTCCTTCTATTTTTTAACGAGACGGGGTCTTACTCTTGCTCAGGCTGGAGTGCAGTGGTGCGATCATGGCTCGCTGCAACTTCCAACTCCTGGGCTCAAGCAAGCCACTATGCCTGGCTAATCCCTCTATTTTAAACTCAGGATTTCCCACAACAATCCAGATTTCTGGTATCTACTGGGAAACAGTTGGATCTGGGTGCTAAGCTGTGGCACCCCCATTAGACAGGCTTCCTGGTCCCCTGCAGCCCCTGCCTGCCTCCCCTTCCTGTCAGTGTGGCCTGCCCAGCCCCTGCAGGCATCTAGTGTGTGACCCTATACTTGATGAGTTTTCAGGGGAGCGCAGCGGAGGGAAAGAGAGGCTGAGGCTCATTCAGACCAAGCCCACAGGACATTTTTAATTTATTTATTGAGACAGAGTTTCGCTCTTGTTGCCCAGGCTGGAGTGCAGTGGTGCAATCTTGGCTCACCACAACCTCCGCATCCTGGGTTCAAGCGATTCTCCTGCCTCAGCCTCCCGAGTAGCTGGGACTGCAGGCACACACAACCACGCCCAGCTAATTTTGTATTTTTAGTAGAGACAGGGTTTCACCATGTTGGCCACGCTGGTCTTGAACTTCTGATCTCAGGTGATCTGCCCGCCTCGGCCTCCCAAAGTGCTGGAATTACAGGCGTGAGCCACTGTGCCCAGCCGCCCACAGGACATTTCTGTATACATCCTAGAATGGGAATGCATGGGACAGACAATAGCAATCACCATGGCCTCCATCTGTGGGCCTCCAACTATGGGCCTCCACCTGCAGTCCTGCTGGTTCCCGGGCCCTGGACACATCTTGTCTCATTTGTCCATCTGTGCTAGAGGGAGGGCTGTCATCACCTCTGCTTCACAGATGAGAGAACGGCTCTGACAGGCCTACCCGCATGCACACAGCAGGGAGGTGGGGAGCTGAGATTCAGGCCCCCCCAGAGGCCCAAGACTCAAGCTCAGAGAGCTGAGGCGGCTTCCTCCGGACAGCCTAGCCAGTGGTCAGCAGAGAGCGCAGCCCTCAGAGCTCCGGGCCCCCTCTGCCTCGGCTGTTCACTCTTGGCTGCCAGTGGTGGTCTCTGTCCAGGCCACGGCCCCCTCAGGTGACCATGTGGCCCTGCAGTGTCCCAGCCCATGCCTGGAGGCGGCTGGAAAGCAGACACCATAGCAGAAAGTCTGGGGTCAGATGCAAGGGCACAGGAAAGGGCTGCGGGGCCTGGCCGGGGTGGGGGGCGGCCTGTGCAGTCACTGGAGGTGGAGGCCTCAGTCGGGCGCCACGCAGGGGTGAATTGGAAGGGGCGCCTAAAGGGCATTTCAAAGCATTTTCCTGGGGGCAAAGCTGAGAGTGCAAGGGCCAAGGGAGGGAGGTGCAAGCACAGCCCCACCTGGCAGCCCCAGGGGCCCAGTGACAGGCAGGAGCAGGAGGAAATGGACCCTGCGCCCAGGGCCAGAGGCAGCACGCAGCCCCGTACAGGCTCTACAGATCTGCAGCCTCCTGGGTTGAGAGCTGTGCATGGGCGTGGGAGGGGCAGAGGGAGGGAAGGAGCCTCCCCCAATGTCCAGGCAGAAACCACCCCCGGTGCAGTTAGCTTTTAGGGAGAGACATCCTGCATTTGCTCCAGAGCTAGCCAGGGGTCAGCAGGGCCCAGCACCTGCTTAATCTGGAGAGATGGGAAGAGGGCAGGCTCCTGACCCAGTGCAGGGTTCGGTTTCCGACCCTGACCCTTACCACGTGCCCCTTGGCAAATCTCTAAACCTCCAGGAGCCTCAGTTTCCTCCTCTCTAAAAGGGACTCATCAGGGCCTTTCTTGCAAGATTGGCCAAATGTTGGTAATTAACGCTGGGTGATGGGCCCATGAGGTCCATCATGCTCTTCCCTCAGCTTTTTGTTTTTCTTTTGTTGTTTTGCTTTTTTATTTTATTTCATTTTATTTTATTTTTTGAGAGGGGCTCACTCTGTCACCCAGGCTAGAGTATAGTGGCACGATCACAGCTCACTGCGCCCTTGACCTCCTAGGCTCAAGCAATCCTTCCACCTCAGCCTCTTGAGGAGCTGGGAATACAGGCAGGTGCCACCATGCCTGGATAATTTTTTAATTTTTTGTAGAGATGGGGTATCACTATGTTGCCCAGGCTGGTATTGAACTCCTGCACTCAAGCGATCCTCCTGCCTTGGCTTCCAAAGTGCTGGGGTTACAGGTGTGAGCCACCATGCTTGGCTTACTGTTGTATATATTTTGTAGTAAAAAGTTAGAACATGACGACAAAAGAAAACAGGTACTTTCCTCATAGGTTTGGTGTGAGGTAAAGGAGATGATGATGATGGACTCAGCACAGTGCTTACACATAGGAAGCCTCTGTCCCCGGCATCCTCTGCTCTTAACTGTTGCTGTTACTTATTACCATAAGTATTGCTGTTGTTAGTATGGACTCTGCCTAGATTGAATCCTGTCTCTGCAACTGACTCATTTGACAGTCCTGGTAGTAATTGAACCTCGCTGAGCCTCAGTTTTCTTATCTATAGAACAGGGTTGCTGTGGAAATTGAATTTCTAATGCTGGAGTCAGCAAAGTTGCTGTTGTTTGTTTTTTGTTTTTGTTTTTTTGTTTTTAAGAGAGACAAAGTCTTGTTCTGTCACCCAGGCTGGAGTGCAGTGGCACCATCACGGCTCACTGCAGCCGTGAGCTCCCAGGCTCAAGCGATCCTCCTGTCTCACCCCCTGAGTAGTTGAGAGACTACAGGGGCACACCACCATGCCCGGCTAATTTTAAAATTTATTGTAGACATGGAGTGTCACTACATTGCTCAGGCTGGTCTCCAATTCCTGGCCTCAAGTGATCCTCCTGCCTCAGCCTCCCGGAACTCTGAGATTATAGGCATGAGCCACCGCACCCGGCCAACAAAGTTTTTTTTTTTTAGAGCCGGATAGTACATATTCTAGGCTCTGTGGGCTGTGTGATCCAGGGTGGCTCTTCAACCCTGGCCTTGTAGTGCAAAAACAGCTGGAGACCATGCGTAAGCAAGTAGTGAGCTGTGCTCCCGTAGAGCTATTTCCAGAAGCAGCAGGCAGCTGGCCGGCCGGCCGCAGTTTGTTGACCCCTGTCAGTGTATTCAAGTGTCTGGCTCTCTAGCTCCTCCCTGAGTGCTGGTGTTCTTTGCAGTGATTATTTTGTAGCCATTTACCTGTGATTCAGGGGCCAGGGTGAGGCCCAAGAGTGGTGGTCGGGCAGTGGACAGGCGGGCCAGGCTGAAAGACCTCTGACAAGGTGCTGTGTGGGGTGCAGGTGTGGCCGGTGTGGATGGCATGCTGGGTCGGGTGCCACAGAGTGTGGTGGACGAGGAGGACAGTGGTCTGCAGAGCACCCTGGAGGCATCGCTGGAGCTACGGGGCCTGGCCCGCGTTGCTGATAACGCCCAGCAGCAGTATGTGCGCTCACGCCCGGCGCCCTCGCCTGAGTCCATCAAGAGGGCCAAGGAGATGGACCTTGTGGGGCTGGGCCTGCACCCCCTCTTCAGTGAGTCCTTCTACAAGGCAGGGGGTGGCAGGTGGGCCTTGCTGACCCCACCCACAGCCTCACACCTTGCTGCTTTCCTACCAGGCTCGCGTTTTGAGGAGGAGGAGCTGCAGCGGCTGAGGCTGGTGGACAGCATAAAGAACTACCGCTCCCGGGCGGTGAGTGGGGCCGGGTGGAGACCACGCTCTGAGTCCTGGCTCTGTGGAGCCCAGAGACAGATGGCCTGTGGCCTGGGGTCACACAGTGACAACGGTGGTGCCAGGACTCAGATTGCACTCCTGACCCCCAGCAGGACCCCAGCAGGGATTTTCATCTGAGCTTCTTATAGCTTCTTAACCTGCAGCCTTGGCTCTGACAACCTCTCTTGAGATGCACCTTGTTCTGGAACCATCCCTGCTGGCTCACAGCAGGTCCTATGGGGCAGCCATTCCCTAGCACTTACAGATGGCTCACAAGGGGAAGTGACATGCTTCTGGTCTGTTAGAGGCCTGAAGAGCTGGCTTTCCTGAGCTTCTTTCCCTCCTTCCCAACTGTTGACTCCCATTAGGCACCCCATCTTGTGCATATGGAAGGGGATGCACAAAAGGAAAGACCTACTGAGGAGTGAGTAAGCCTGCCAGCCAGCTAGGATCAGGAGAGGAGCTGGAGAGAGTGTCATGTTTAAGAGCACCGGTTTTGAAGTCAAATGGACTTGGGTTGACAAGCTATGCCTTTTCCTAGCATGTGACCATGGGCTGGTTACTCACCCTCTCTGGGTTTTTGTTTGTTTGTTTTTGAAACAGGGTCTTGCTTTGTCACCCAGGCTGGAGTGCAGTGGTGCAATCATGGCTCACTGCAGCCTTGACCTCCTGGGCTCAAACGATCCTCCTATCTCAGCCTCCTGAGTAGCTGGGACTACAGGTGCATGCCACCACACCCAGCTATTTTTTTTTATTTTTTGTAGAGATGAGGTCATGTTGCCTAGGCTGCTCTCAGACCCCTGGGCTCAGGTGATCCTCTTGCCTCAGCCTCCCAAAGTGCTGAGATTACAGGCGTGAGCCACGGTGCCTGGCCTGGGTCTCTCTGTGTTTTTGTTTGGTTTTGTTTTTGAGATGGAGTCTCGCTCTGTTACCCAGGCTGGGGTGCAGTGGTGCAATCTCGGCTCACTGCAACCTCTGCCTTCTGGGTTCAAGTGATTCTCCTGCCTCAGCCTCCTAAGTAGCTGGGACTACAGGTGCCCACCACCACACCTAGCTAATTTTTGTATTTTTAGCAGAGATGGGGTTTCGCCGTGTTGGCCAGGCTAGTCTCGAACTCCTGACCTCAAGTGATCCACCCGCCTCAGCCTCCTCAAGTGCTGGGATTACAGGCATGAGCCACTGCGCCTGGTCTGGGTCTGTCTATCTAATTGTGAAGTGCAGATAATGGACACTGGGGAAGACTTGGGGAAGAACGCCCATAGGAAGCCCACCAAGTGGTAAGGGTGGGGTTAGGAGTAGGAGGCCAGTGGGCAAAGGACTGGGTGTCCCCTCCACAGACTATCTTTGAGATCAACGCCTCCAGCCGAGACCTGTGCAGCCAGGTGATGCGCGCCAAGCGGCAGAAGGACCGCAAGGCCATCGCCCGCTTCCAGCAGGGACAGCAGGGGCGGCAGGAGCAGCAGGAGGGCCCAGTGGGCCCAGCCCCGAGCCGCCCAGCACTGCAGGAGAAGCAGCCTGAGAAGGAGGAGGAGGAGGAGGCGGGAGAGAGTGTGGAGGTACAGGTTCCACCCTGGGGACCCTGGACCTGGGGTATGGGGAAGGGGTGGCTAAGTCCCAGCAGCCCATGAGGCTGTCCTAGGATCTTTGAGCAGTGGATGGAGGTGGATGCAGTCAGCTTCCCATCTGCAGAGTCGGGGCATGGTTCTTGTCCACCATCCCTCGTTTAAAACTCTGGGGCCAGATCTTTAGCCTGAGGAGCTGTGCACGACATGACACCCTCAGTGGGGTCCGGGGCATCACCAGCCACCAAACACATCAGGGCTTCTGCAGTGAGACGTGTAGGTCTCCACTCAGAGGGAGGACCATGAAGTGTCCCATTCACCTGGTGGGTGGGTCCTGGGCCTGTGCGTCCCCCAGGATGTCCCTCTCTCATGTTTTGTTTGGACAGAGGGTTCAGTAGCCAAGAAGACCAGTTGGAGACCCCTGGCCTAGTCCATGTTGTTCAGAGCAGGCCAGGCGCAGAGAGGGGCAGGGCCGGCTGTCACATAGCCTGGGGTGCGGAGCTGGAATGGGGAGTTGGGTCTCCCTCGGCCGGCACTCTCCTCCTCACCCAGCTGTCCTGCCTCTGCTGGTCCCTGAGGCAGGGGTTGCACTGTGTGTGCAGATGAGGAAACTGAGGGTCCCACAGGAGACACTGTCACCCAGCTAAGAAATGGCAAAATGAAGCTTTGAAAGTCCCCGAGAAGCCACTGGCCCCTCACTGTGGCCAGGCTGGTGGGTAGGGAGGCAGGGGGAAGTCCCCAGGGGGCAGCAGGCATGACACTGGGCCTTGGTCTGTGCTCTGCCAGGACATTTTCTCAGAGGTCGTGGGCCGGAAGCGGCAGCGGTCAGGACCCAACAGGGGAGCCAAGAGGCGGAGGGAGGAGGCCCGGCAGCGGGACCAGGAATTCTACATCCCCTACCGGCCCAAGGACTTTGACAGCGAGCGGGGGTGAGTGGCTGGCTGGGTCCTGGGTGGGGCAGTTGGGTCCGCTGGGTCCCATCAATCCAATTATGTCTCCCACTCTCCCTCTGCAGCCTGAGCATCAGCGGGGAAGGGGGAGCCTTTGAGCAGCAGGCAGCTGGCGCTGTCCTGGACTTGATGGGGGATGAAGCCCAGAACCTGACGAGGGGCCGGCAGCAGCTCAAGTGGTGAGTGATCGAGTGAGCCGCCCCTCCATGCTCGGGGTGAGTGACCGAGTGAGCTGCTCCTCCGTGCCTGGGGTGAGTGATCGAGTGAGCCGCCCCTCCCTCCATGCCCGGGGTGAGTGAGTGAGTGAGCCGCCCCTCCATGCCCGGGGTGAGTGATCGAGTGAGCTGCCCCTCCAGGCCCAGGGTGAGTGAGAGAGTGAGCTGCCCCTCCATGCCTGGGGTGAGTGAGCGAGTGAGCCTCCCCTACCTCCATTCCCTGAAGTGAGTGAGCGAGTGAGCCGCCCCTCCATTCCCTGGGGTGAGTGAGCGAGTGAGCCACCCCTCCAGGCCCAGGGTGAGTGATCGAGTGAGCTGCCCTCCATGCCAGCAGGCAGGGTGAGCTCCCTGAAGTCCTCACTCCCATCTGATCCTGCACAGCCCAGATTATGGCCTGGCTGTCCCCCATGTGACCACTCACAGCAGGTGTGATGGCCCCTGGCTGTGCTGTCCCCTTGATTTGATCACACACCACAGAGATCTTGACCCCGTCTATTCTTTTTGCTGGCAAGTCTTTCTAGACAGGGCTCAGGACCCATTCGTTCAGGACTCTAGCGTCTGGAGAGTGTATGTGACTCAACCCAGGGTCACAGCTGGGTAGGGGGAGGGGATTGGAAACCCTCCAGGAGGCCCTTGTCCCTGAGCCAGGCCCCAGTGCTGGCGGCAGTCCTCTGACCTCCGCACTCCCTTTTGAGACCTGGACTGCAGGGAGAGGTGAGGAGGGATAGGGAAGAAGCCTTTATTGAGCGCCAACTGCATGCCAGACATGGCTGCACTGCTTTCCTTTAATGCTCCAACAACCTGACAAGAGGGTCGGGTGAGGAGACAGGCCCCAAGCGGCAGCCGGCACTCCAAGGGTTTCCCTCCACGGCAGCCGTCCCAACTCCCTCTCCTGCAGGGACCGTAAGAAGAAGCGGTTTGTGGGACAGTCAGGACAGGAAGACAAGAAGAAGATTAAGACAGAGAGCGGCCGCTACATCAGCAGCTCCTACAAGCGAGACCTGTATCCTGAGGGGCGTGGCTGGGGAGGGGCGGGGCCGAGGAGCTTCAGCAGGAGCAGCTTCAATTAAGTGGAACCTGGGGGCGGGGGCGGGGGCGGGGAGGAGGGGGCGGGGCTGAGCGGCTTAAGCAGCCGCATCTCCAATAGATGGGACCTGGTGCTGGGGGCGGGGCCGAGCAGCTTCAGCAGCAGCATCTCGAACTAGTGGGACCTGTGCTGGGGGCGGGGCCCAGCAGCTTCAGCAGCAGCATCTCCAGTAAGTGGGGCCTGTGCTGGGGGCGGGCCCAGCAGCTTCAGCAGCGGCATCTCCAATAAGTGGGACCTGGTGCTGGGGGCGGGGCCGAGCAGCTTCAGCAACAGCATCTCCAATAAGTGGGACCTGTGTGCTGGGGGCGGGGCCGAGCAGCTTCAGCTGCGGCTGGGATAACGGAACTCTGTCTGCTGGGGCAGTGTGGGGAGGAGCCTTCTCCCATCCCAGGGGCTTCACGCAGCTTCCTTAACGAGGTTTCCCAGCTATCAGAAGTGGAAACAGAAACAGAAAATTGATGATCGTGACTCGGACGAAGAAGGGGCATCTGACCGGCGAGGCCCAGAGCGAAGAGGTGGGAAGCGAGACCGTGGCCAAGGTGAGAGCCAGGGTGGGGAGTGTGGGTGCACAGGTAGGCAGAGCAGTTGTGGTCAGATTAGGGTAACGCTGAGGCACAGGTGCAGGGGCTACTGCAGAGCCCCAGAGCTGGGTGTGTTGGGGTATGCTGCCAAAACCCTGGGTCCCTCCATGATCCCCCCCACCCAACCCCCACACCCACAGTTTCCCCCTTCCTACTGTCCCGGCCTCTGATGGTCACGAGCACCGCCTGACAGGCGCTGGGAAGTGCCATGCCCCTCAGGTGCCTTGTCCCCGACCCCCTTCCACTTCACAGATGAAGCTACAGGGATAACTTCTGGTAGATGCCCTGTTCACCTAATTAAGCCGATTGTGTAAAATCCTAGAGAACCCGGGAGGTGGAACCTTGTGCAAATGCAGGCCATTTTCACCTGCAAAAATGGCATTTGCATGTGGTTCGACCTGACAGTGAGCATGAATTGATTCCCTGTGGCATCCTTAGGAGTGACGTTCTTTTTAGCAATGCTGTGGGGAAGTTCATGTCACCAAAGACGCAGTCAGAAGCAGCTTTGGTTCTGGGAGGAGGCGATCACAGGGGATGTTGAGGAAGATACTTCCTTGAAATGTGGGTTGGCAAGTGGTACATTTGGTCATCTGAGGACTTGGACCTCTTTGATCTGGCCTGGGTCCCTCAGCCAGTAACAAGCTAAGGTGGATTTGAAGCCGGCTCTGTCTGCCAGAGCCTGTGCTTAAGGGCTGTTATCAGGGAGGGGCTCCCGCTTGCTGGGTGCAGGCAGGCTCTGTCCTGGAAGGCCACACATGACCTGGGAGGCAAGGTGACTGCGAATACCCATTTTACAGGCCAGGAAACAGGTGCCTTATGAGGGCTATGACTGAACCTGGGTCACCCAGCTGCCCAAGGCTCCCACCTGGAGTCTTCCCTGGGGAGAGGGGAGTTTGGGACCATGTCTTGGGTCTCTCTCAGATGGCCTTAGCCCCTGCTTGTGTCCCTCCACCTCCTGGGGCTGGTCACTGCCTCCCCTGGGTGTCTCTGTGAGCCTGCGTGCATTTGCCTGGGCCTGTTCTCTGTGGCTCCTCCCTCTCCAGCTCTCCCATCTGTGGGAGTGTCTCCTTGTCAGCATGGCTGGGTGGGGACCACCCACACCTCACTTCTCAGCCTGTTTTTACCTAGGTGAAACAGCAGCTTCTGCTGCGAGCATTGCCGTGCAGTGGGCGTGCAGGGGCTGGGGAGACGGGGGCGACCTGTGGGCTTTGGGAAAAAGCAGCTGTTCTTCCTTTGCTGTCCTCATTGGAGGTGATAGGTCCTGCGAGGCACCCTGGCTCCATTGGAGACAGCTGGGACCACCTTAATGGTCATCCCTCTAGGAGCCCTGGGGAGGCTGCTGTTATGAATGGGGAAGAGGAGGAGGAGGACACAGGGCTTAGTGGGAGCCAGGGAGGGTGGTGCTTGCCTCCCGGAGAACTAGAAGAATGGACTACCTGATGCCCACCTGTGGGGCTGGGGCAGGGTCGCTGACCTCTGCTGCTGCTGCTGCTTTGCTGTGTGATCTCAGATAAGTCCCTCTCCCTCTCTGGCCTTCTTTGATTCCTCTCCCACCTAAAGGAAGGTTCATCTACACTCTTTTTTCATCTAACAAGCCTAGAGCATGGTGTCCATGGAGACAGAGGCTGAGGTCTGTATCGGTTACTATGGGGGGCCTCAGAGCCTGGCGTGCCGTAGGTGTGCTGTGGAGACATACACTCCTTGGTTGGAGAATTTTTAATAGTAACAGTCATGCCCAAAAGGCTCCCACTATGGGACAGGCCTTGAAATTCTGACCACTTTACACCATGGAAATGCATTTACTCTTCACCCATGAGGGAGGTGCTGTGATTTATAATTCATAGATGGGGAAACTGAGGCACAGAGCCGTTAACTTCTTGCCCACGGTCCAAGAGGTCACAGCTGGGATTTGAACCCCAGCGGTTCTGGCCCCGTGTTATTGACCACTCCATGAGGCTGCCTAAAACTTTATTAGCCACCTACTGTGTACAGACACTGGGCCACAGCAATAAGCACAGAACAGGAGTAGGGGCAGGGGAGGAGTCTGCAAGCTTCTGGGAGGAGGGGATCTTGGGAGTGATCCCAACAGCTGAGCTCCCTGAATCCCTGTCCCAGCAGGTGCATCCCGGCCCCACGCCCCAGGCACCCCTGCAGGCCGAGTCCGCCCGGAACTCAAGACCAAGCAGCAGATCCTGAAGCAGCGGCGCCGGGCCCAGAAGCTGCACTTCCTGCAGCGTGGTGGCCTCAAGCAGCTCTCTGCCCGCAACCGCCGCCGCGTCCAGGAGCTGCAGCAGGGCGCCTTCGGCCGGGGTGCCCGCTCCAAGAAGGGCAAGATGCGGAAGAGGATGTGAGGACCAGGACCCAGCCCCGTGGCTCCTTGATTGGCCTTAGGGTGGGCATCAGCAGACGTTCCCGTGCACCACTGTGTGCCTGGCCCTGTGCTGGGCACTGGGGGCACTCCCTGCAGGAGCCATCATCTGTGAAAAGGAGCACTGTATGGCCACAGAAGGGCAGCAGCTGCGTCAGCCTAAGACAGAGACATTTGAACAGGGCCTTGAAGGGTGTGCAGGAGTTCGCCAGCAAAGCCAGGCAGGCCAAGACTTGAGTTGGCAACTCAGCTGCTGCTGCTTCCATGTGTTCTGGGTTCAGAGGTCATGGCTGCACCGGTCAGAGCCCTGAGTGCCTCAGGGTTTGGCAATGGAATTTTTAATGTAATAAATCTTTATTGAGCACTGCTGGTGGCCAGGAGTGCGGTCTACTTGGGGAACTGGAATGGAGAGACCCAGGTACTAAAATCCCAGCTAACGTGGCAGAGGAGTTGCGGGTCTCCTGAGGGTGAGTTCTGCTGCCTTGTCCATTTAGCGATGAGGAAAGTGAAGCTCAGAGCACAAACCAGGTGCCAGAGGCGGGAGTTGGTCCCCCTTCCTCCCACTGGACATGGTTGCAGCTGGGAGTGGGCTGGGGGAGGGGAACAGGATGCCCAGCCCAGGGGGCAAGGACACAGCTGCTCCCCTCTGGCTATGAAGAGGTTAACGCGGCCCCTCCACACCTGGAGGTCAGAACCTGGCCTGTCCTCTGTCTTCTTGCCACCCACCCCCTGTTTGAGGTTCTGAGAAGGTCAAGGGCAGCCCCAGCAGCTGGATTCTCAGGCTGGGCCCCTCACCTGGCAGAGTCCATAGTGGAGGGGGCCTTGGTGATCTCTCATCTAGCATGGACCCTGTTCTGAGACCTGACAAAGAGTTTTTTTTCATGCCCCAACCACCCTGGCAGGGAGGGCCTGGTCTGATCTCATTTTAGAGGCAGTTGCCCCACACATAGCCCCTTGACCTTCCCATCACCTCCTCATCAGGGCCTGCATTTATGGAGTGCTTGCTATGTGCCCCTCATGGCAGGCCCACAGCACTCTGAACAGGCACAGCCCTCCCATCTTCCCAATGAGGAAACGGATTCAGGAAGAGCCACTCAGTCCACACCCCATTGGAAATGTGGGCCCTCCTATCTCAGGGTCTCTCAGGGGTTCCCTCTCCCGCTGCTCACCTGTGTCAGGGCTAGGAGGCAGGGGCTGCAGGCTCAGCCTGACCCAGGCCGGCCAGCATGGCAGAGAGGTCCTGCATGAACAGCTTCACCTGGGGGGGCCCAGCACGAAGTCACATCCCAGCCCCAGAGTCACTGTCCAGCCCCCACCCCTCAACACGCGGGGGAGGCCGAAAGGTAGGGCGGGGACTGGAGATCCCCTCATTAAAAGAACAGTGATGATGGTGGTTCCCAGAGGTGGTGACTGAGATCCTAAACCGTTCTGGGTTTTGAAAGCCTCAGGCCAACCTTCCCAACTGCTGCGTGAGCAGACACCTTCACAGCTTCCTCGCTGCTGTCACCTGCACTATCCAATTAGTATTTTCATTTACATCAATCAGCTTTATTTTCTTGTAACTGGATCAGTCATATTCATTGGTTTGTGACCTACTCTTATCTCCGTGGGTGGCTCTCCTTTTGTTTTAATTAACTTCTTTATGAATATGAACTTAATAAATACCATGGATCCATTGTAAAAACTAGAACTTGAGGGTGAACTTACAACCATCTGTGGGCTCCCCCTCATATTCATCACCGTATCAACAGCTGAGAAGGAAACTTTTTATCTCCACCAAAAATGGAAAAAAATAGTTACCCCTTGTCATAACTAGGGGGCAACTGGAAAAATAATGCAATGAACAAATGAAGCTGTTACTGAATTCTGGCAGCCGCAGGACAGTGTGAGTCCCAGGCCCGGAGGCCAGGGAGTGTTAGGGGAGGTGGGAAAAGGCATCATGTCCCTCCGTGGAGCCTTTCTCCTTGACGGGCAGAGAGTTGATTTTGAAAAGAGATGGTCTGGTCCTAGTGCAGTGGTGTTTACAACGAATTAATTACAACCGGTTACAGATTTTGTTTCTTCTTAATTTCCACTACTCCAGTTGGACTAAAAGAAAAGGCACTGACTTTTGCCTGTTTACATCAAGCCTGTGTTTCTGCTAGTCTCATGTGCCACAAGGTAACAGGCCAGGCTTGGAAGAACAGTGGCATCGATGCATCCAACCAACTAGGAGGGGCGAAGCGGATTCCCAGGACCCAGATCTTGGCATTCGGTTGGAATCCTGGCCATTGGGCAGAACAGGAATGGGAATCGGTTGGGGAAAAGGTGGGATGCCTCCCTTTGTAGCAGGACGAGCCGCAGACAAAACTCCTCAGACACCGGATTAACACAAAACTCCTCAGACACCGGATTAAAGAAGGAAGAGTTTTTTATTCGGCTGGGAGCATTGGCAGACTCGTGTCTTAAGAGCCGAGCTCCCGGCCGAATAAAAACCTCTTCCTTCTTTAATCCGGTGTCTGAGGAGTTTTGTCTGTGGCTCATCCTGCTACACCTTTACTTTTCCTCCAGTTCTCAAAGGGGCCATGCTTTGGGTATACCCACTAGAAACAAAAGAAGTGTTTGAAGTCTGAAATCTTCCTCCATTGTAAACCTATGTCACGCTGGGTGTGGTGGCTCACACTTGTAATCCTAGCACTTTGGGAGGCTGAGGCGGGAGGATAACTTGAGGTTGGGATTTCGAGACCAGCCTGGCCAACCTGGTGAAACCCTAGCTCTACTAAAAATACAAAATTAGCCGGGTGTCGTGGTGTGTGCCTGTAATCCCAACTACTCGAGAGGCTGAGGCAGGAGAATCGCCAGGAGGCAGAGGTTGCAGTGAGCCGAGATCGTGTCACTGCACTCCAGCCTAGGTGACAGAACTAGACTCTGTCTCAAAAAAAAAAAAAAAAGCCTATGGCACATTCTACACCACACAACTCAGCCTAACCCCACCCTCACCCTCCCTGCGGAAGCTGAGGCCTCTCTGTGCAGGAAGCAGGGAGACAGAGGGCCAGAGATTAATGAAGAGCGAGTCTGGACCTCATGATTTTTTACAGGTGTTGACACGTGTGGGCTGTTGGATCCTGTGAGAAAAGAGGGACTCAGCACAAACCCTGGCCTTCCTGGTAGAGGGAGGGCATTGAGACCAGCCACTTTTTTTTTCTTTTTGAGATAGAGTCTAGCTTTGTCGCAGAGAGGGGCATGGCTTTCTTCTGGCCACTGTCAGAGCCAAGATGCACCCAGGAATCCATCCTAGACCGGGTGCCTGCCCGACAATCGAGCCACGGCTGGGGCAAGGGCTCTGACCGTAGAGGGCCATGCTTAACCCAGAGAAGGTGTCACTAACTGTGGGGTTTTAGGCTCATTTTTCCAAAGAGGGAGTGTTTGGGGGCTGGAGGTGCCATAAAGAGGGGTCCTCACGTGCTCTAGCTGTCCCTCCGTGTCCTCGATGTCCAGGGTGGGAGGCTGCCCCTGATGCTGGCACACTAGCTGGAACAGGTTGAGCACAGCCATCCTGCTGCGTCCCAGGAGCAGAGTCTTCTCCGCTGCTGTGTTCTGAATCTGAATCCACTTGGATTCCTGGAGAACACCCGCCCCACTCCCAATTATGGCAACTGGGCCAAGGCGGGCTGCCCCCTCTTCCCAGCCACTTTTTTTTTTTTTCTTTTTGAGATGGAGTCTAGCTTTGTCGCCCAGGCTGGAGTGCAGTGGCCTGATCTCAGCTCACTGCAACCGCCGGCTCCCAGAGCCTAGCGATTCTCCTCCTTCAGCCTCCCGAGTAGCTGGGAGTACAGGCGCCCGCCAGTGGACCTGGCTAATTTTTGTATTTTTAGTAGAGACAGGGTTTCACCATGTTGGCCAGGCTGGTCTCGAACTCATGACCTGAGGTGATCCGCCCCTTTCGGCCTCCCAAAGTGTTGGGATTACAGGCATGAGCCACCGCGCCCGGCATTCTTCCCATCCACCTCTGCCAGTCAGGCAGTCAGGTGCTCTCGGGAGTGGGGTGCAGGAGCCTTGTGCAGGCGGATGGGGCGGGGCCTCATGCCCGAAACGGCTCGGTGATGCCTGAGATTCCCCTCCTTAGTGCAGCGGACCCTCTGGGGTAAGCATTGCCCCATCGGTCCTCATCAGCCCTGGCGTTCCTCCCCGCCCGGCTGTGGAAGCCTGGGGTCCGGAGCGCCCCCCACCTAGGGCGGGTCGTACCCACTGCAGCGTACGCTCCCTGGCAGCCTCCAGGCGCTCCTGCAGCTGTGCCCGCCGCTGGCCCTGTGCGAGCACCTCGTCCGGCCAGGCGTCCCGCAGCTGCTGCAGCCGCGCTCGCGCCGCCTCCAGCTCCGCGAGCTGCTCGCGCTCCCTGAGCCTCAGCGCCGCCTGCGTCTCGGCCAGGCCGTCGAAGCGCGCCACCAGCTCCGGAACCTCTTGGAACTAGAGTCGGGGGCGGGGAAGGGACTCACATGGGCCTGCAGTGCCTTACCCTCTCCATCCCACCTGGCCGCCAGCGTTCCTTATTATTGGAATAATCTTTCTGGAAAGTGACTTAAATGTCAACCTCCATTTGTTAGAGACAAGGTCTCGCTCTGTCACCTGGGCTGGAGTGCAGTGGCGCGATCATAGCTCACTGTCATCTTGAACTCCTGGGCTCAAGCGATCCTCCCATCTCCGCTCCAAAGTAGCTGGGACTATAGTCACACGCCACCACGCCCGACTAATTTTTTGTAGAGACAGGTGTCACTCTATGTTACCCAGACTGGTCTCGAACTCCTGGCTTCAAGCAATCCTCCCGCCTTGGCCCCCCAAAGTGTTGGGATTACAGGCGTGAGCCACCGCGCCCGGCCAGAGTTAGCTTTCTGAATCTTCAGTTCTCCTATCTGTAAAATGGGGTGGACAGTTGACAATAACAGGACTTACTTCACTGGACTTTGGGGAGGATTCAAGAACAAAGCGTGGGCGGTGGCTCACACCTGTAATCCCAGCACTTTGGGAGCGGAGGTGGCAGGATCGCTTGAGCCCAGGAGTTCGAAACCAGCCTGGGCAACATAGAGAAACCACCGTCTCTACTAAAAATAATAATTTAAAAAAATAGCTAGGCGTGGTGGCGTGCGCCTGTGGTCCCAGCTACTTGGGAGGCAGAGGCAGGAGGATCCCTTGAGCCCAGGAAGTCGAGGCTGCAGTGAGCCGTGATCGCGCCAATGCACTCCAGCCTGGTGACAAAGCGAGACACTGTCTCAAAAAACCTCCAAAACTAACAACCACAAAAACCAAAGCGTATCCCTTGCTTACAGTGAGCGCTCCATAAGTGATAGT
The DNA here is from genome assembly GCF_000001405.40 of Homo sapiens. Lineage (NCBI taxonomy): Eukaryota > Metazoa > Chordata > Mammalia > Primates > Hominidae > Homo > Homo sapiens. The sequence continues at coordinate 113,153,534 of NC_000012.12, read as the reverse complement.
TCTCGGCATGCATGCCAAGATCTCCAGTAGTTCAGCGAACCAGTAGTTCGCCGGTCCGAAGCCGTCCCTGAGCCACTCAGCGCCACGCGGTGGCGCCGAGCTCCCAGCCTCCTGCCCCGGACTCACCCCGGGCAGCAGCTCCAGCGCTTGCTCCAGCAGGCGCGCGCAGGGCTCCAGGCGCTTAAGCCGGCGCTGCAGCCGCGCGTGTTCCCGCCGTAGCTCCTGGAGCTGGGTCCACAGACGCAGCGCCTCCACCTCCCGACGGCCCGCCTGGTGCCTCTCCTCCGCCGCCCTCCGCAGCGCGCGATTGCGCCGGGCCTCGGAGTCCTGGGGAGTACGGTGGGGAGAAGACGACCTTCAGGACTCAGGAGCTGGCGGGGAGTTCGGCACCTCCATCCTGCCCTGACATTCGCTCGCAAAACCAGGGGCGGCCAGCAGGCCTGGCTCGGAAGCTGGCTCTTCACCCAACTCCCCCGCCCGCTTTTTTTTTTTTTAATCGGTTGCTTCAGGCAGTGCGTGTGTGTTTCCCGCCGTTTCCTTTTGCATGACGAAAACCACTTCTTTTATTTTTGTTACCTGCCGGGCCCCTATAGGAGTGTGGGCTGCTACCCATAGGCCCCGCCTCCCCCCCAGGAGGCTCCACCTACCTGCAAAAACTTGTCAAAGCGGATGAACGATCCCTTTAGCTCCCGCTCCTTTTGTTCCAGCTGTTCCCAACGCTGTTTCAGGGCTGCCGTCTTGGTGCGGAACACCTGGGGGTGAGGAGTGGGTTGTCTGTGTGGGTTCGGGGGTCCGGGTCCTCCCATGCTGTCAGGTTCACACCTAACCCCTTCCACCTGTTGTCCCTGATCTGTGGCTGCTCCCTGCTCAACCCATCCGGGGCTCCCATCACCCAGGGATGAAGCCCAAACACCCTCCTCCAGCCCTCGAATGCCAGTGTCCCTGCCCTTCCTTCAGGCCTCATCTTACCCTCTGCCCTCCCATATTCTGTCTTCCAGCCACTCAACCACCTGTGTTTGGTTCTTGCCTTCCAACCAGTCTTTGTGTATGGTTTTCCTCTGCCTGTTTTTCCTTCCTCATCTGTTTCACCTTTGCTGGATAAGCCGACTTGCCCTTCAGCAATCCCCAAGACATCACTTCCTCCAGGAAGCCCTCCTTGACCACCCCCATGGGGAGGTAGGGACTTCTGGGCTTCCACAGCCCCTGCCCAGTGCTTCTTCCCTGTAGCAGTCACCACCTGAACACTTATCTGTTTTCCTCTCTAGACTGTGAGCCCCACAAGGCCAGGGACTATCGTAAGACCTCCAGGGCTTAATGCAGTGCCCAGCACATGCTCAATGCACACAAATTTATTTGCACCAACAACTGGTCTCATTTGATCCCCATTTGACGATGAGGAAATCAAGGCTTGGAGTGGTGAAATGACTTGTCTCAGACCTTGTCACTAATAAATTGGCTCCATCACTTCCCATCCACCAGCTCACCACCTCGTTACAGTAGTGGGGGCTCACCTCCTTCTGGGCCTGCAGGGCCTGGTCTGCATCTACCAGCTCTTGCCTCTTCTCCAGGAGACGCAGTACTGGTGGGACATGATCCTCAGCCTGCTCTGGCAGCTTTCTGAAGAGGCTCAAGTAGGAGGTGGGGGTGAAGGAAGCATGTTTCAGGGCCCCACATCTCACCACTGTGTCTGGAGTGCCCCATTAGCCACCTGCTGGCTGTTTAATTTTTTTTTTTTTTTTTTGAGACTTGTTTTTGGGTCTTGCTTTGTCACCCAGGCTGGAGTGCAGTGGTCTAATCATCATAGCTCACTCCTGGGCTTAAGCGATCCTCCCATCTTGTCTCTTGAGTAGCTGGGACTGCAGGCATGTGCCACCACACCCGGCTAATTTTTATTTTTTTATTTTTGTAAAGATGAGGTCTTGTTTTATTGCCCAGGCTGGTCTTGAACTCGTGGACTCAAGCAATCCTCCTGCCTCAGCCTCCCAAAGTGTTGGGATTACAGGCATAAGCCACCACATCTGGTTGAATTATTATTATTATTATATAGTTTTTGAGATGGAGTCTTGCTCTGTCATTCAGGTTGGAGTGCAGTGGCACGATCTTGGCTCACTGCAACCTCCCGCCTTCCAGGTTCAAGCAGTTCTCCTGCCTCAGCCTCCCAAGTAGCTGGGATTACAGGTGCACGCCACCATGCCCAGCTAATTTCTGTATTTTTAGTAGAGACAGGGTTTCACCATGTTGGCTAGGCTGGTCTCGAAATCCTGACCTCATGTGATCTACCCACCTTGGCATCCCAAAGTGCCGGGATTACAGGTGTGAGCCACCGCACCTGGTTGAATTCTTTATTCATTGAACAAATTGTCCTGAGCACCTACTCTGGGCCAGGCACCCTTGTAGGCACTGGGGGTGCAGCTGTAAACAGGACAGACAAAAATCCCTGTTCCCTCGTGAACTTGCATTGTTCTGGGAGCCACAGAAAATCAAGCTAATAAATAATAATAATAATAATAATAAAGAATGCCAGGACATGGTAGGCACTGAGATGAAAAATTAAGTGGACTAAAGGAATCTTTCAACACAGAGGAGGTGGCATCTGAGCAGAGACCTGGAGGAGAAGAGGGAGCAAGCCACGTGGACATCTCCAGGGAACAGATTCTAGGACCCTGGTGTGGCTAGGGTGGCTGCAGAGGAGGGAGGGAGGAGGAAAAAGATGGGAATTGGGAGCAGGGAGGAGCTGAGAATCCAACTGCGGTGGGCCATGGTGAGTGGAGACTTTGGCCTTGACTCTAAGTGAAGTGGGAGCGGAGGGAGTGTTTTGGGCAGAGGAGGGGCCCTTCTGGCTGCTTTGAGGAGCAAGGACAGTGGGCAGCTGCGGGAGACCAGTGGTGGGGCCACGGGATATTCCAGAGATAGTGTGGTTCTGAGCAGGGCAGCAGTGGCAGGAGGTGAGAGCAGAACTGATGGAGTGGGGAGGGGAGTGAGAAAGGGGTCAGAGGTGACCCCAGGAGCCGGAAGGATGAGGCTGCAGGAGAGCAGGTCAGGTGGGGGAGACCAGCTCCCTACTACGGCCAAGCCCGAGATGCCTGAGACCTCTGCAGGGAGAGGCCCAGGAGGCAGTGGGGTTCTGGAGTCCAGCGCCCCGGGAGAAAGGGAGAGCAGAAAGAATGACTAATGTGTAATCAGCAAGGCTTTCCCAGCCGTGGTCCAGAAGAAAACCCCCCTCCCCATTTTACAGATGCTGATACTGAGGTTGGGACTTGAGGCCATGCTGCTGAACATGAAGGAGACACAGAACAAGCTTCCTCTGTTCCTCCTGAAAATGCAGTTTTGGGGGTGGATTGGGGAGCAGGATTTCATAGAATAATTCCTTCCCAGCTTGGTTTGAATGATTTAATCTCAGCCGGATGTCAGCTAGGGGTGGGGGATCAGGAACGATCCCTGAGACCATGGTGATGCCTCGGTTTCTCTCTGATCCTCAGTTTCCTCCTCTGTGAAGTGGGGACAATAACCCCCACTATGATCTGCCCAAAGCCAGGACCCAGGAGGTGAGGAAGAAAGGATGGGCCAGCCCACGCATTCCCGCCCTCCTTCTAGCCCTCCCTCCCTCTACGTCCCACTCACGTAGACAGTTTCTCTTGCAAAGCCAGTCGGAAATATTCCTCCCAGGGCACCGCCATCCTTCTGGCAGTTGCCCCAGCTTTCTTTCCACCAGCTGGAGTTTTGCACAAGCTTAGGAGACCCTGGGGGTTCTGTGGAGCGTGGTGTGGAAGCCTGCTCAGCTCGGCCCAGAAGGCAGCCACCAGCAGGCTCTGGTTGCCTGGCAACCGACCACACAACATTCCATCGCCTAGCTGCCGCCTGGAGGGAGAGGGAGGGGCCTGCGAGGAAAGGAGCACCTCTGCCCCTCCTGGAGAGGCCTGTAACACCCCATCAAATCGGTGGTGCAATGGAGAGGATGGGGCTCCCTTGGCCAAGAAATTGCCTCTCTTAGTGCCCCACGTTTGGCCAAGCTTCTTCCTGGCTGGGTGGGATAGCCTCACTATCTGGGCCACGCTTGTGTGTACTCAGTTAATGGCTCGAAAGAATAATTACTGGGCGCGCACTGCTAGCCAGGCCCTGGGTGGAGTCATTCACTCCCAGCCCTTTGAGGCGCCACTCCCTGTCCTGGTGATGGGGCTCCTCTGGCTATTTCTCAGGGAGCCCCCAGCCTGGTTAGGGAAAGGGAGACCATCAGGACCTCCTAGTGGAGACCAGCTTAGAAGGGATGGTCTGGACTTGGGGGATGGGGTGATGGGAGAAGCTGAGAGTTCGGGCATTTATTTATTTGACATGGAGTTTCGCTCTGTCACCCAGGCTGGAGTGCAGAGGCTCGATCTCGGCTCACTGCAACCTCTGCCTCCCAGGTTCAAGCGATTCTCGTGCCTCAGCCTCCCGAGTAGCTGGGATTACAGGTGAACTCCACCAGGCCTGGCTAATTTTTGTATTTTTATTAGAGATGGGCTTTCACCATGTTGGTCAGGCTGGTCTTGAAATCCTGACCTCAAGTGAGCCACCTGCCTTGGCCTCCCAAAGTGCTGGGATTACAGGCGTGAGCCACCACACCTGGCCAATAGTTTGGGCTTTACTGTGGGTTAGATGCTATGCTCAGCACTCTATAGTATCTAAATTAATCCCTAAGACAGCCCTGTGGGGGGTGGATGGTACTAGGGAAAAGTACCAAGAGTAATATAAAAAGTACCCTTGGGTTCTTCAATTCAAAGCAACAAACACTAGCATCTTGTCCTCCCTGCTTCCGGTCATTTTATTTTCCATTTTAAATAATTTATTTTCCATTCAAAGAAATGTATTTTCTTAATGTAGAGCAATGCTGTTTCAAAAACCTATAGTTCCTTGTAATCCTACATTGCTTAAAAAACTCCTAAGGATTTCGTTAGAGCATGTTTTAAAAAACAGAACTAGGGCCGGGTGCGGTGGCTGATGCCTGTAATCTCAGCACTCTGGGAGGCCAAGGTGGGAGGCTTGTTTGAGCCCAGGAGTTCCAGCCCAGCCTGTGTAACACAGAGAGACCCCATCTCTACAAAAAATAATAAGATTAGCTGGGGATAGTGGCATGTGTCTATAGTTCCAGCTACTCGGGAAGCTGAGGCAGGAGGATCACTTGAGCCCAGGAGGTTGAGGTTGCAGTGAGCTATGATCACTCCACTGCACTCCAGCGTGGGCAACAGAGCAAGACCCTGTCTCAATCAATCAATCAATCAATATCTAAGAAATTAAAAAGAACTAAAATAATGTACATTTTACCTTTGAGCATTTTTAAAAATTAAATTGGACATGCTGTCTTTCTGCACAAATTGATGTGAAGTTACAATAAGATATGATCTCATTTTTTCATTCTTTTTTTTTTGAGATGGAGTCTTGCTCTGTGACCTAGGCTGGAGTGCAGTGGCACGATCTCCTCTCACTGCAACCTCTGCCTCCTGGGTTCAAGCGAGTCTCCTGCCTCAGCCTCTGGAGTAGCTGAGATTGAAGGCGCGCGCCACCGCATCTGGCTAGTTTTTTGTATTTTTAGTAGAGATGGGTTTTTGCCATGTTGGCCAGGCTGGTCATGAACTCCTGACTTCAGGCGATCTGCCCGCCTCAGCCTCCCAAAGTCCTGGGATTACAGGCGTGAGCCACCTTGCCTGGCTTCATTTTTTTCTTAATTTTTTAAAAGATAAAGGTATCTTTTACAAAAAGTAAAAGTCACTTTTTCCATATACCATTCTATGGATTTTGGCAAATGCATAAAGTCATGTAATCACCACCACAATCAACATACAAAACATTTCCATCACCCCAAAAAGCCCTTGTGCCCCTTTATAATCAACCCTTCCCTCCACACCAGCCTCTGGCAACTTCTACATATTCTTTGTCCTTCGAGTTTTACCTTTTGCAGGATATCATACATGAAATCACGGTATACACTTTGTAGCCCTTTGAGTCTGTCTTCTTTCACTTAGTAATATTCATTTGAGATTCATTCATATTGATATGTGTATCAGTAGCTCATTCTTTTTCATTGCCGGGTACATTATATTATGAATACTATAGTTTGTTGATTCATTCCCCAGATGAAAGACAGGTGAGTTGCTTCCAGTTCTGGGCACTTGCAAATACAGGCTGTATTCATGTGCAGGTTTTTGTGCAAACATAAGTTTTCATTTCACTTGTGTAAATATGTCAGAGTGGTATTGCTGTGTCGTATGGTAAGTGTATGTTTAACTGTATAAAAAACTGCAAGCTGTTATTCAAGGTGGCTGTACTATTTTTATATTCACACTAGCAATGTACAAGAGTTCTAGTTGCTCCATTAGGAGAGTTCTAGTTGCTCCATATCCTCACCAGCAGTTGGTATTGTCAGTTTTTTAAAAAGTCATTTTATGGCCGGGTGTGGTGGCTCATGCCTGTATTCCCAGCACTTTGGGAGGCTGAAGCAGGTGGATCACCTGAGGTCACCAAGACCAGCCTGAGCAACATGGTGAAACCCAGTTTCTACTAAAAATACAAAAATCAGCTGGGCATGGGGGCATGTGCCTGTAATCCCAGCTACTCAGGAGGCTGAGGCAGGAGAATCGCTTGAACCTGGGAGGCAGAGGTTGCAGTGAGCTGAGATTGCACCACTGCACTCCAGCCTGGGTGATAAGAGTGAGACTCTGTCTCAAAAAAAAAAAAAGGTCATTTTAATAGTTGTATTGTAGTATAGATTATGGTTTAATTTTTTTTTTTTTTTTTTGAGACAAGGTCTGGCTCTACCACAAGGCTGGAATGCAGTGGCATGATCTTGGCTCACTGCAACCTCTACCTCCCAGACTCAAGCCATCCTCCCACCTCAGCCTCCCAAGAAACTGGGACCTCAGTCAGGTGCCACCACACCCAGCTAATTTTTGTATTTTTTGTAGGTGGGGTTTCACCATGTTGTCCAGGCTGGTCTTGAACTTGTGTGCTCAAGCTATCCGCCTGCCTCTGCCTCCCAAACTGCTGAGATTATAGGCGTTAGCCACCACACCCGGCCTAGATTACATTTTAATTTTTGAGATAACTGTAGATTTACATGCAGTTTAAGGACCAATACAGAGAGATCCCATATCCCTTCCACCCAGTTTTCTCCAGTGGTAACATCTTGCGTAACTATAGTACAATATCACAATCAGAAAGTTGGCATTGATACAACCCACTGAACTCACTCAGATTTCACCATTCTAACATGCATTCATGGGTATGTGTGTGTGTGTGTATATTTAGTTCTATGCAGCCTTGCCTCAGGTATATTTATGTGACAACCACTATAGTCAAAATACAGAACAGTTCATCACAAGGTTCACTTAGAGGCATACTGGTCTCCTGCTTCTCCCCTCCCTAAGCCCTGACAACCATTCCTCTGTTCTTCATCTGTATAATTTTGACATGTCAAGGATGTTAGAGAAATGGAATTGGCCAGCCACGGTGGCCACGCCTGTAATTCCAACACTTTGAGAGGCCGAGGCAGGAGGATCGTTTGACTCCAGGAGTTTGACACTAGCCTGGGCAACATGATGCAATCCTGTCTCTACAAAAAAATACAAAAGTTATCCAGGCGTGGTGGCGCATGCCTGTAGTCTCAGCTACTCGGTAGGTTGAAGTGGGAGGATCACTTGATCCTGGGAGACAGAGTCTGCAGTGAGCCATGATCCCGCCAGTGCACTCTAGCCTGTGTGACAGAGCAAGACCCTGTCTCAAAAGGAAGGAGGGGGAGGGGGGAGCAGGGGTGGGGGAAGGGAGGGGAGGGGAGAGAAAGGGAATCTTTCAGTATGTAACCTTCTGAGATTGGCTTTTTTCACTACGCGTAATTCTCTTGAGATCCATCCTGGTTGTTGTATGTATCGATAGTTTGTTCCTTTGGATTGCTGAGCAGCATGCCATGGTATGGGTGTACCACAGTTTGTTTAACCATTCAGGCTGAAGGACATTTGGGTCATTTCCAGTTTTTAAGAATAAAGCTATTAAGAGTAAAGCTGGGTCAGGTGCAGTGGCTCATGCCTGTAATCTTGGCACTTTGGTAGGCTGAAGCAGGAGGATCTCTTGAACCCAGGAGTTCAAAGTCAGTCTGGATAACATAGAGAGACCCTGTCTCTACAAAAAAAAAAAAGAAAAGAAAAATCAGCTGGGTTTGGTGGCACAGGCCTGTGGTCCTAGCTACTTGGGAGACTGAGGCAGGAGCCTGTGAGGTCAAGGCTGCAGTGAGCTGTGATCACATCACTGCACTGCAGCCTGGGCGACAGAGTGAGACCATGTCTCCAAAATATATACATACATATATAAAATATATATACATATAAATAAATTATATATATAAAGAATATATATATATGCCATGAAGATTCATGTGCTACTTTTTGTGTGAGCCTATGCCTTTATTTCTTTGGGATAAATGCCCAAGAGTGAAATTGTTGGGCTGTATGGTAAGTGACATTTCGTTTTTAAAGAAGCTGCCAGCCGGTCATGGTGGCTCACGCTGTTCTCCCAGCCACCCAGGCTGCAACAGAGTGAGCTGAGCACTTCTCCCAGCACTTTGGGAGGCTGAGGCGGACAGATCACCTAAGGTCAGGAGGAGTTCGAGGCCAGCCTGGCCAACATGGTGAAACTCCATCTCTACTAAAAATACAAAAATTAACCTGGTATGGTGGTGCACACCTGCAATCCCAGCTACTCTACTTGGGAGACTGAGGCAGAAGAATTGCTTGAATCCAGGAGGCAGAAGTTGCAGTGAGCTGAGATCGCACCACTGCACTCCAGCCTGGGGGACAGAGTGAGACTCCATCTCAAAAAAAAAAAAATTAAATTAAAAAATTTAAAAAAACCTCTCATATTCTTTTGCATAGGGGCTGCACATTTTACATTTCCACCAGCAAAAAATGAATGATCCAGTGTCTCTGTATCTTTGCTGTGATCACTATTTTTTTATTTCAGCCATTCTGATAGGCATGTAGTGATAGCACATTGTGTTTTTATTTTGCATTTCTTTAAAGGCTAATGAAGTTGAACATCTTTTCATGTGCTTGTTTGCCATCTGTATATCCTCCTCAGTAAAATATATGTTCAGTTCAGTGAAACGCCTCTTGCCTATGTCTTAACTGGATTGTTTTTAACTGTAGAGTTTTATTTATTTATTTATTTATTTATTTTAGAGCCAGAGTCTCACTCTGTCGCCCAGGCTAAAGGGCTTAAGCAATCCTCCCACCTCAGCCTTCTCAGTAGCTGTGACTACAGGTGTGCACCACCGTGCTAGGCTAAGTTTAAAAAATTTTTTTGTAGAGATGGGGTCTTACTACATTGCCCAGGCTGGTCCTGATCTCCTGGCCTCAGGAGAGCCTCCTACCTCGGCCTCCTCCTACCTCGGTCCCCCAGAGTGTTGGGATTACAGGCATTAGAGATGGGGTTTCACCATGTTGGCCAGACTGCTCTCAAACTCCTGACCTCAGGTGATCCGCCTGCCTTGGCCTCCAAAAGTGCTGGGATTACAGGCATGAGCCACCGTGTGCGGCCGTAATTATTAAAATTTCTTGTAGAGATGAGGTCTTGCTATGTTGCTTAGGCTGGTCTCAAACTCCTGGGCTCAAGTGATTCTCCCGCCTCAGCCTCTCAAAGTGTTGAGATTACAGGCGTGAGCCACCACACCAGCAATTTCTATTCTTATTTTTATTTTTATTTTTTTTGAGACGGAGTTTCTCTCTTGTTGCCCAGGCCGGAGTGCAATGGCACAATCTTGGCTCACCGCAACCTCCACCTCCCAGGTTCAAGTGATTCTCCTGTCTCAGCCTCCCGAGTAGCTGGGATTACAGGCATGTGCCACCACGCCCGGCTAATTTTTTGTATTTTTAGTAGAGAGGGGGTTTCTTCATGTTGGTCAGGCTGGTCTCAAACTCCCAACCTCAGGTAATCCACCCATCTCAGCCTCCCAAAGTGTTGGGATGATAGGCATGAGCCACCGCACCCAGCCATTATGTTCTTTTAGAAGTGGTTTTTGCAAATATTTATTGAGCATCTTACCCTATGCCAGACACTGTGCTCAATGCTAAGGATATAGCAGGGGACAAGACAAAACCTGACTTCCCGGGCTTACAGGCCAGTGGAGAAGTCAGAGCAATCAAATCACCCTACAGATATGTGATGGGTTAGGAGGAGAGGCCTAGAGAGCATGCACAGGGGCAGGGAGGCCTCCTTGAGGAAGGGATAAGCCCAGGAGGTTGCAGTGAGCCGAGATCATGCCACTGCACTCCAGGCTGGGTGACAGAGAGAGACTCCATCTCAAAAAAAAAAATCATTCAACTTCCCTCTCCTGGAGCTGCTCATGGCTTAAGGAAGGGAAGAAAGTCCTTGCACAAACCACTTCTCTTAGAAGGCTGGGGCTGTGGCTTCAGCTCTGCAGCCAGCTAATACCCTTGCCTACCCAGGCCTCAGCATTCCTCTCTGTTCAATGGGGTGCTGTTCCCAAGCCCTCCCGCCATGCTTCGGGGTGGGAGTCCCAGTGTCTTGCCAGCTCAGCCTCCTTCATGCCTCTGCCCCTACCTCCTGGAGGGTGGGGACGCTGAGTGACAGCAGGACACAGCTCAGCCGGCCTTGCCCTTGGCTGAAAACCTACAAGCTCTGGAAATATCCCCCAACCCGCCCATCTCACGCTTCCGTGCCTTCCCCATTTCTACTTCTCCATTCCAAGGTGGGGTGCGGGGAGAACTCTGGGGAGTGGGGCTGAGGCAGGAGGAAGTGGGGGTGCCGACTGAAAGACAGACACCTTGTTTTCAGGCCCTGGGAGGAGGGAACCTCGGCAGCCAGCCCGCAGGAGGGGGTTTGGGAATTCCTGCCCACTCCTGCCACCGCTGCCTCCTGTCCCACGTGGCTCCCTGCCCAGAATCGTGCCCAGCAATCACAAACAGGGCTTTGTGTTCCTGAGACAAAGAACAACCCATCACCCCAGCCTAGGCCAGGGCCCGTGTCTGCTTTGCCCTGGTCTTGGCCTCAGAATGGAAGGTGCCACTCCCCAGGAGGGGACACAGGCCTCCTGGTTTGAAGGTGTAGGTACACTGGGCAGGTGGTAAATTGGCAATGACGAAGCTGCCCTCCTAGGCACTGTAGGGAGGGAGGAAGTAAAAAATAATGTGACTGTTATCACATGAAGAGAGGCCGGGTTCCAGCCCTCCAGGGGAACTGAATTCTGTTTAGCCCGGTGTGCGTGTCGTGAGTCTTTCTTATGTGCCTAGCTGTGTGGGAGGCTCAACATGAATCAGACACTGTCCCTGACATTTAGAAGGTAAGAGAAGCATGTAAATTGCCACGAAATAAGGGAACAAGAGACCAAGGTCACACAGCGGTGCCTCTGGGGCCTGGGGTTGGGGGAGCATCTCTGCCTCCCCACTCCTCTGTAAGGGCTTCTCAGAGACTGTGGAAATACAAATAAAGGACAACTATTCCATTTATTTATGTATGGAGACGGGGTCTCACTACATTGCCCAGGCTGGTCTCAAACTCCTGGGCTCAAGAGATCTTCCTGCCTTAGCCTCTGGAGTAGCTGAGGCTACAGGTGTGTGCCACCACACCCAACGAATTTTTTATTTTTATTTTTTGTAGAGACAGGGTCTTGCTATGTTGCCCAGGCTGGTCTCAAACTCCTGGGCTCAAGCAATCCTCCTGCCTCAGCCTCACAAAGTGCTGGGATTAGAGGTGAGAGCCACTCACCTGTACTTGGGGCCGTGGGAGAGGCCACAAGTCTGGAGAGATCAGGGGTCTGGAAGCAGCCACCCCCTCTTGCCACATGGCCTGTGGAGCACATGGCTTGGGACAGTGGTTCCTTTAGAAGCCGGAGGGACCACGAATCCTTTTCTGATGATAAAAGAAGCACATGGGGTTGGGTGTGGTGGCTCACGCCTGTAACCCCAGCACTTTGGGAGGCCGAAGCAGGAGGGTCACCTGGGGTCAGGAGTTCAAGACCACCCTGGCCAACATGGTGAAACCCCGTCTCTACTAAAAATACAAAAATTACAATTTGGGAAGCCGAGGAGGGTGGATCACGGGGTCAGGAGATCGAGACCATCCTGGCTAACACGGTGAAACCCTGTCTCTACTAAAAATACAAAAAATTAGCCAAGCGTGGCAGTGGGCGCCTGTAGTCCCAGCTACTCAGGAGGTTGAGGCAGGAGTATGGCATGAACCCAGGAGTTGGAGGTTGCAGTGAGCCGAGATCCCGCCACTGCACTCCAGCCTGGGCGACAGAGCGAGACTCGGTCTCAAAAAAAAAAAACAAACAAACAAACCGAAACCAAAAACAAAAATTAGCCAGGTGTGTTGGCGGACCCCTGTAATCCCAGCTACTTGGGAGGCTGAGTCAGGAGAATTGCTTGAACCCAGGAGGCAGAGGCTGCAGTGAGCCGAGATTGCCCCACTGCACTCTGGCCTGGGCGACAGAGTGAAAGTCTGTCTCAACAACAACAAAAACAACAACACAAAAAATTAGCTGGGCGTGGTGGCACATGCCTATAATCCTAGCTACTTGGAAGGCTGAGGTGGGAGGATCACTTGAACCTGGAAGGCAGAGGTGCCACTCCACCTCCCTGTGAGCCAAGATCACTCCAGCCACCCAGGCTGCAACAGAGTGAGCCGAGATCGTGCCACTGCACTTTAGCCTGGGTGACAGAGCAAGGCTTCACCTCAAAAAAAAAAAAAAAAAAAAAAAAGTACATGCTATTTTGTGTAAGGAATCCCTCCAGCTCCAGCTGTACCCCCATGTCTGCTCCATCATCCTCGCATCGTTCTTTACTCTCTGGGAGTTTATTATTGAGCTGTGTTACTTTTGTCTGCTTTCCTATTTTACTGAGAGCCCCAGGAGAGCAGCGCGGGGCCATCTTATCCTTCACTTGAACCTCGCTATATCCCTACCATCTAGTACATTGTAGGTGCTCAATACACGTTTATTCAACAAAAGATCTTATATATTCATACACAGAATATTCTATGGCCTCAGACTCATACTGTGTATATGGTTGTATATACCTTTTCCTCACCATTTATGCTTTTTTAGTATTTTCTTGTCATTAAATCTTCCTTGAGAACATTTTTGAAAGAGCCATGCAGTATTCATTTACACTGATGCCTGTGCTTTACTTCCCCCCACCACCATCTCTTATAATCTTTATTAACCTATTGGGAGGACTTTTACTTATTTATTTATTTGTTTTTGAGAAAGTCTCGCTCTGTCACCCAGGCTGGAGTGCATTGGTGCAATCTCGGCTCACTGAAACCTATGTCTCCAAGGTTCAAGTAATTCTTGTGCCTTAGCCTTCCAAGTAGCTGGGATTACAGGCACATGCCACCACGCCTGGCTAATTTTTATATTTTTAGTAGAGACGGGGTTTCGCCATGTTGCCCAGGCTAGTCTCTGACTCCTGAGCTCAAGTGATCTGTCCCTCTCGGCCTCCCAAAATGCTGGGATTACAGGTGTGAGCCACCATGCCCAGCCTTATTTACTTATTTAATTAAAAAGAATTCTATAATAGAGATGAGGCCTCACTATGCTGCCCAGGCTGATCTCAAACTCCTGAGCTCAAGTGATCCTCCTGCCTCGGCCTCCCAAAATGCTAGGTTTACAGGTGTGAGCCACCACACCCAGCCTATTTATTTATTTTTAAGATACGGTGTCTTGCTATGTTGCCCAGGCTGGAGTGCAGTGATGCTATCATAGCTTACTGCAGCCTTGAACTCCTGGGCTCAAGCCATCCTCCTGCCTCAGCCTCCTGAGTAGCTGGGACTACAGGTGCAAGCCATCATACCTGGTTAATTTTAAAATTTTCTGTAGCAACGAGGTCTTGCTATGTTGCTCAGGCTGGTCTCAAACTCCTTGCCTCAGCGATCCTCCCACCTTGGCCTCCCAAAGTGTTGGGATTACAGGGGTAAGCCACCATGTCTGGCCCTGTAAAGGCCTTCTTGAGGGAAATGACTGATCGAGCAAAGGCAGTGTGTGTTGGGGGAGCAGATTGGGAGGATACGAGAAAAGTCTTAAGGGTGTTGAATTCAGGAACGGTGTCTAGAGAGCTATGTGACTGGGGATTCCTGTGCCCAGTAGTGTATTGGTAAACTGACTCTCAAAAACAAATGTAGCATTTGCCAGTTTCCATACTGTAAATCCTACCCTAGTCAATTTCAAGTTCCCATGTGATGTGGCTAAACATGGAGTTGGAAAGTTATGTGCACAGTCGAATCCAGTGCCGATGGGAGCGGGCTCCAGGACGCCCCCACCATGCCCAGGCCCGATTCCTCTTCTGGGATGAGGAGCCCTCTCTCCTCCATGCCTGTGAGCCCTCCCTGGGCCACAGGCCCAGCATCTCAGATCAAGTGGAGACTCAGCCAGTCCTGGTCAGAGGGCTCAGCATCTCAGATCAAGCAAAGACTCAGCCTGTCCTGGACAGAGGGCCCACAGGGGAGGCCGGAGCCCTGATCTTGGAAGCTGTCTATCAGATTTCTCAGCCAGGATGAAAATCCTCAGATTCCCCCAGCTCAGCGATCTGGAACTGCCCTGGCTACTGAAGTGTGGGCCTTCATCCATGTCTGGAATCTGGGGCTGGGCCTGCATTCTACCTGGGCAATGTCCCCAGGACCCAGCCTCAGAGCTAAGCCACCAAATGGGGCTCAGTATCAGGCACAGGACGTCCCACAATGGCCATGACATTTATTGAGTGCTTGTAGTATGCCAGGCTGTGCTAAACACCTGGCACTTATTTCTTTTCCAGCCTCATGCTCATCCTAGAGGTGGATTCTATTAGTATCCCCACTTTACAGATGAAGAAACTGAGGCACTGAGAGAGTAACTCACTTGCCCAAGAACACTTGGCTTGGAAGTACAGGTGCCAGGGTTCAATCCTAGGTCAGCCTGATGCTAAACCCTCTTCTGGTAAACCCTGAGCTCAGCATTTCTTCCCACTTAAGTCTTTATGAAACACCTGCTGTGTGTATCGCATGGGTATTGCAAGAGATGGTTATGAATTTACCTTTAAGGAGCTTGGGGTTGGGGTTTGGCCATTTCTTGAGCACCTACTATGTGCCAGGAATGATGCTAAGTGCCTTACGCTGCCCTCGAGATTAACTCTCATAATAACCCTGGGAGAATCACCAGCCTGCCCTCTCCCTGCCTAGCTGGATGGTCCCGCGCAGGTCACACACTCTCTCTGGTCTGCCTTTTCCGCTTCGGTCCCTTGGCATGGACTGCCCTAGGCAACCTCCAACTCCCTGCTAGTTTCAGGTCAGAGATTCTCAGAACAACAGGAAATGGCCGGGCCATGTGCAAAGTTTGGGGACTGTGGCCATTGCCCCAGGCAAATTTTGGGGTCACCCTCCAGATATTGGACAGGTAACAGCGCTGGCTTGCTGGAGGCCCAGCTGGCACAGTCTATATCCTTGGTATTTCCCCGTGGGGAGCTGGGGAAGGGTGTTTGGGTATATGACTTCCTGCTTAGCTCTGGAAGATGGGCCAAGATGGCTGCGTGGCAGTTTGGCTGGCATCCCATGGGGGCTGGAGGAACAGGCCCCTTAGGTTCCATCATCAGGGGGTTCCAAAAGGGGTCCTGGGGGTCTGGAGGCCTGTCTGCGGTCTTTGCAGGCTCACAGAAGAAAAAGGCTCAAACAGTAGCTTCCACTAAATGTGTGTGGTGGGGGGCGGTGTGGGGCGGGGGGCAGGATTCCCGTCTTAAAGCTTCAGTTACATAGCAAATACCTTAAGTACCATTCCCCCCACCACCTTAGGTGGTATATTTTCTTTGGAGAGAATCTGGGGTAACTGATAAAGATCACAGTGGGCCAGGCATGGTGGCTCACGCCTATAATCCCAGCACTTTGGGAGGCTGAGGTGGGTGGATTGCTTGAGATCAGGAGTTCAAGACCAGCCTGGCCAACATGGTGATATAAAAATACAAACTATAAAAATCTACTAAAAATACAAAAATTAACCGGGCATAGTAGTGGGTGCCTGTAGTCCCAGCTACTCAGGAGGCTGAAGCAGGAGAATCACTTGAACCCAGGAGTGGAAGTTGCAGTGAGCCAAGATCGAGCCCTGCCCTCCAGCTGGGCAAAAAAAAAAAAAAAAATCACAGTGGGATGACTCCTTTGGGGCTATTACTGTTCTGGATCTAACCCTGGATTACCCCTCATGCCCCGCTGAGGATGTTGCAATACTTCTAAGCCTTGGAGCCTGTTCTGCTAGGTCCATTTCCCAGATGGGATTAACTGAGACCCCATCTCTGGTGGGTCAGAGACTCACCAGGCAGCCACCAGCTGGGGAAGGAATTCCAGGGCTCTGAGTTCCTCATCAGCCTGTCTGGGTTGCTGGGTGGGGAGTCAAGAAGGGAGACTGGGAAGCAGACCATTGGGCTGCTGACGGATCCAGGAAGGGCACTCCTGGTCTCACCGGTCTGGGCGTTGGCTCCCGCACTCAGTCTGCAGGGGCACTCCCATTGGTGCCTGGCCTTTCTAAGAGGTCTTGGGCAGGTCAACAATGAATTCACAGGGAGAAATAAGTGTGCGAACGGATCTGTTCTGGGACAGGCCCTGCCTGTCATATTATCTCATTTAAAATCAGAAAAATGTACAAACCTGGAGCCACTGGAGCAGAGAGAAAGGAAAGAAAATCTCTACCGGAGTGGAAGGGCATCCTGGAAGCCTTCCCAGGAGAGGTGACGCGTGGCCCACGCCTCAAAGGACAACAATCAGAATATCAAACACTTTCTGGACGTGTATTAGGTACTTGTCACTGTCCTGAGACTTTTATCTTCATTAACTCTTTTAATTCTTTCAAAATCCTGTGACTGAAATGCAATGTCATCCTCACTCAACAGATGAGAAAACCAAACCAAAGCACAGAGAGGTTGAATGGCTTACCCAAGTCCAGACAGCTACCAAATGGCAGAGCCAGGATTCGAACCCCTGGAAGGCAAATCAGTTACTGACTGTGAGACCTCTGCCAAGTTATTTAATCCCTCTGAACCTCAGTTTCTTTATCCATAAACTGCGGATAATGGGGTAACAGTGGAGTAGTGTGTAGTGCACATCTGGAGACAAAAATGAGCTAATCCCAGTAAAGCGCTTAGAACAGTGCCTGGCACCCATGAAGTGTTCAAACAACTGTAGATGACTTTTTATCATCGCTGTAGTGGTTATCTTCAAGCCTTCCCCTCCCCCATCTGGCCGCGGCTTCCTCCCCCGCAGTGCCAGCCCGTGACGTTAGAGCAGAGTCTGGGTTCTGTGTTTAACTGGAAACTAGAACGAGATGGAAGGGGATGTTCAAGGCCCCTCCCTTGACTCTGAACGGACCCCCAGGGAACATGCGACCCTCTCTCTGGCGACGCCTCCCACCCACCACTAATACTTGCTCCTGGACCGGGGGGCGCGGAGGTTGGAGAGAGGAGGCAGGTGTCTGCATGGTAGGCAAGGAGGGGTGGGGGCGGAGAGGTGTGAATATGTTGGATGAGGGACAGGCGGGGGCACAGACCATGTCTTTTAAGCCCAATGCCAACTCACCAGGAGCCAGCGGCCACGCCCATCAGGACGGGGGCCCCTCCCCACCTGGCGGTGCACCCTTGTCTCCGCCGCCCGTGCGCTCTGGCGCGCATGACTGGGGTGCCGGTAGAGGGCGCGCGAGGGGGCCCGGGGTCAGGTGGGGGACCCCATTGGAGGCGGGATTGTGGGGAGGTCCCTGGGCCGCCCCTCCCGCCCCCTGCCCGCCCAGCCTGCTTGTCTGGAGCTCCAGACGCCTCGGCAAGAGCCCGCTGCGCCCCCTGCGCGCTCCTCCTGCTCGGAGCACGGCTCCTACCTGTAGAGTCCGGACGGGCGCTCCCTCCCCGGGCACCTACACCTTCTCCTCTTTCGGAAATCTCCCATCCAGCTACCCGGGTCTCGGACAGGCGGCACTGGGACCACGAGGCAGGGAGCCAGGCTTGAAGCAGGTGACATGTAGACGTCCCCTGGTCCAGCCTCGGAACCTGAGCGCCCTTCTGCCTGGAAAGTTTGTGGCTAGGCGCCATGGCCAAGAGCAGCTCCCTGAATGTTCGCGTGGTGGAGGGCCGCGCGCTGCCTGCCAAGGACGTGTGAGTACTCCTCGGGCGCTTCTGGGTGAGGGGCGCGCAAGGCCTGGGGTGGGGCCGACGTCGCCCTTTCCGCGTGCCAGGGCGGGTTGGCAGGAGGGCGAGGGGTTCTTGTCCAAGACTGGTCTTGGGGCAGTTCCGCTTTAAAGGGGCGAGAGGCCGCATGCCCATGGCTGTCCCGGTGGGAGGGGGGCGCCTAGAGTTAGCAGATGCCCCGCCTCACCCCCGGGCAGGGGAGGGGGTGTCTTTGTTCCCGGGATGTACTAAAGGGGGTCGTCCAGAGCTGAAGAGGGGATTAGAGGGCCATATTCTGTCAGATCTGGGAGGGGAGAAAGCGGGGGGTCTCTTCCTTAGTCCAGGCAGATGTTGGAGGTGGCTCCTCCAGGCGTGGGTGGGGGCCTAGCAAGGGAACCCTGGGGAGGACCCTTGGAGAGGGCCTGGGATCAGATGAGCCCTAACATCCTGTGTGGATCTGGTGCTTAGGTTTGCAGAGTGTCACCAGGTGGCCCTCCAGGGTCCTTTTGACCCCAAGCCCTGAGCTCCCCAGTCTTGTGGCTCCCAGCCTCGTGTGGGCCTTCCCCGGGTGCTGAGCTGCTTGAAGAGCCAATTCCTTGCTGCGACCCCCTCCCCAGCCAGGTGCAATGGGACTGGGGGACCCTACGGCTCCCTTCACTACTAGTCCCAAGCTATGCTTCCCCCAGGGCTGAGTCAGCAGCTGCTGAATCAGCAGAATATGGGGGGCGGGTTCCCCCTCCTGCTTGGCATAGTGCCCAGAAGGGGCTCTGAGGGCCTTAGCACCTGCGACAGGTGTGGGATCCTCTGGAGGACATTTGTTGTGTGACCTTGAACCTGCTTCTCTCTGGGCCTTGGTTTCCCATTTGGGCAATGAGAGCTCTGGACCGGAGTCCCCATCTGGTTGCCTGGGGTCTCCCATCCAGCTGGGAGGGTGGAGGACCTGTTAGGAGTTCCCCTGTGGCCCAGGTGAGCAGGAGCATGGATTGGGAGCCTTCACCTGTGTCAAGATTCAGTCTTAGCTCTGTGCTGATTCCCCAAGGTGTGGGCTCCCAGAGAGGACTTTCCTGCCTGATTTTATGACATTCCCAACCCCCAAAACACTGCAGCTGCGTCAAGGGGGCAGCTGTTGAGAGCAATTTTTGCCACCCTTCATCCTCATTGGCTACTCCAAATATACACACCCTGAATGAGAAGCAGAGTGTGTGCTCTGACAGTTCAGTGGCTGGACAAGCCCCCCCACCAGACTCTTTCTAAGATGTCCCCTCAGAGGCCCTGGGAATGAGACGGCCTACACTGTTAGGGCATTGAGGCCAGGCTGGATGCCTGGCAGCTGCTAGGTGGTGAAAGGAGTTCTTTCCAGAAACGGGGTTCTCACTCACTGAGCTCTGGCCCCTCCACCAGCCCTGGGTGAGAGGTCATGAGGGGGCGATGGGTGTCACCCCTGCACCTGGACACTGGCTTACGGTAACCTGCTGCTCTTCTGGAGAAGGGACTTGAGTCATGCCTGGTTCCTGCAGCTCTTGGCCAAACTTCCTGCCCCCAATTCCTGGGCCAGTGAGCTATGAAATAGGTCATGCCCTAGAGCAAGGGTGGGGAGGAGTCACTTAGCCCCAGCTGGCAGGGGGGGTTCTGGCCACCCTGCCTCAGTTTCCCTAGCTGTCAGCACCCTTCTTCAAAGGGGCTCTTCCTGGAGGCTGCTGGGAGCTCCATGCCATGGGAGCCCTTAGGTGGGGTGTGTTCTTTCCCTCTTCTCCTAAGGGAAAGGGCCCAGATTCTGCCTAAAGCATTGCCAGGTTTGAGGGGGGTCCATTCTGGCCCGGGAGGAGGCCTCTTCAGGTAATTTTAGAGTTTTTACTATTAGAAATAGTAGCAGTCAGTCACTGAGGGCTTAGTATGGACAGGCCCTGTGCTTAACACTTCATATAGTTCTATTGGCGTCTCTTATTTTACAAATGGGGAAACTGAGGACCAGAGAGGCAGTCACTTGCCTAAGGTCACCCAGCTGCGATTTGAACTCTGACTACTCCATGCCCAAACCAGACTGGGCAGGCAATGGCTGAGGGGCCTGCTTTCCCAAGACTGAGCTGAGTCAGGGGCCGTGGGAGAGGCCACAAGTCTGGAGAGATCAGGGGTCTGGAAGCAGCCACCCCCTCTTGCCACCGTTGCCCTCCCTGATAGGAGTCTGATAAGGCCCTCATGCGTCAGAGCCCTGCAGCTGACTAGTGCTGAGCTCGGCTCCCAGGAGGGCCTGGAGGTCAGGCTGGGTCTGCAGGAGGGGGTGTGTCTCCCAGCCCTCGGCTAGTGGGATCCCAGCCCATCTGACCCCACATCTGTAGTTGGGGAAACTGAGGGGTGGGAGCCTGCATAAAGGAAGCTTAGGGGTGGAGAACCCAGGGAAGGAAACTGAGACACAGGACATTACCAGCCACAGGAGTCTGAAGGTGAAGCCCAGATGGGGAAACTGAGGCTCCAATGGATTTGGGATGGAGCCAGAAGAGGAAACTGAGGCTTGGGGCACTCCACAGAAGGGGATTCAGATGTAGGATCCACAGAGGATCACGAAGACACTGTCTGTCTAAAGTGTTCAGGGATAGAAGCCAGGTAGGGAAATGGAGGCATTGGAGTGTCCAGCCAGAGGGGGATGAGGGAAGGAGTCCAGAGAGGGAAACCGAGGCACAGGGAAGGGCTCATCCAGCAAGATAGGTTCAGGTTGGAGGCAACTCTTAGCGCCAATGTCCCTCTTTCCTGGCATCCCAGAGGCATTTGTGGATCTATACAAACTGGAGAGACAGAAGGTGGCAGAGATCAAGGGAGTGGTGCTGGGGCATCGAGGGAGAGGGCCATTTGAATAGGTAGAGGGGGCATTGGTTTCAGAACATGAGTGTGAGCCCACAAACCTGGGTCCCAGTCCTATCTCCACTGTTACTCCGTGCTCCAGAGAGAGCACTCCATAAACCCAGTCATTCAGAAATAGCTCTAGAGGGCCAAATGCATGCCAGATGTGGGGGCCAGGGGTGGGGAAGTGGGGGACACAGACTCTCCCCAGGGAGTTCACAGTTTGGAAGTGGCAGGGAGGTGGGGAGACAATACTAAACGCATAGAGAAATAAGGGAGGCCGGCTGTGGTGGCTCACGCCTGTAATCCCAACACTTTGGGAGGCCGAGGCGGGTGGATTACTGGAGGCCAGGAGTTGGAGTCCAGCCTGGCCAGCATGGTGAAACCCTGTCTCTACTAAAAATGCAAAAAATTAGCCAGGTGTGGTGGTGTGTGCCTGTAATCCCAGCTACTCAGGAGGCTGAGGCAGGAGAATCGCTTGAACTTGGGAGGCAGAGATTGCAGTGAACCAAGATCGCGCCACTGCACTCCAGCCTGGGTGATACGGTGAGACTCTGTCTCAAAAAAAAAAAAAAAAAAAAAGAAGAAGAAGAAGAAGAAAGAAGATGATTTTAGGTGGAGGTCATTTTAGATAGGACAGTGGTGGCCAGGGACAGCCTCTCAAGGAGGTGACTTTGGACTGAGACTTGAATGGCAGGAAGGAGCCAGCCATGGCAGTATCAGGGCTAAAGTGTCTTAGGCAAAGGGAACAGCAGGTGCAAAGGCCCTGAGGCTGGCCTGGGGCCTGATGAAAGACAAAGAAGCCCTGTATGATGGGATGGAGGAGGAAGTGAGGGACCTGTTAGACAGCTTGGGATTTGCTGGTGACTGTTATTATGAAGGGGGGATGCAGCTGGCCTGAATTGGCAGATGACTCATAGCTACTTAAGGGGGTGCAGCACATCTTAAGAGATTTCGAGGGTTGATTTTGAAGCCTGGGTTCCCTGGTCTTTGCCTGTAGGGAGGGTCTGCTGAGTCTGTCCCCATGGAGGGCT
This sequence comes from Homo sapiens, assembly GCF_000001405.40. Classification (NCBI taxonomy): domain Eukaryota; kingdom Metazoa; phylum Chordata; class Mammalia; order Primates; family Hominidae; genus Homo; species Homo sapiens. The sequence goes on along the minus strand of NC_000012.12, from coordinate 113,131,516 downwards.
GAGGAATGGGGAGTCCCCTTCCCAGGGAAGCTCCCATTGAAATGAAAAGCTGGGGACACAGCATTAAAGCCCCTGCAGGGGAGAGCTGGGGGCCAGACCATGATCCGGCCCAGCATTTGAGTTCCTCCAGCCCCCTAGGAGGTGTATGTGAGCATCACACCTGATTTATAGAGCAGAGAAACTGAGGCCCAGAGAGGGAAGGGGACTCTCTGGGATGGCACAGCCAGAGGGTGGTGAAGCCAGGCATTCAAGACCCCCCCACCCCCCCCACACACGCTCTGGGCCTCTGCTTTGGGCTTTTCGAGGCCAGGACTCAGAACCTGCTGGCCTCAGGCCTCCCTGTTCTATTTCTATGGGTGGAAGCCCAGAGTGCACAGATGTGGTGGCCTGGGCAGCTGTGACATCTCCTGCTGGTCCCCTAAGGTTCTACTTCTGAGCTGGACTTGCTGTGTGACCCTGGGCAAGTCCCCTTCTCTGTCTGTGCCTCCGACTCCCCTGCCTGTGTCATGACTGGGACCCTCCACTCATGGCTGCCCTCTCAACCTGCTTCCTCCCTGAACTCCCTCCTTCTGCAGGTCTGGGAGCAGCGACCCCTACTGCCTAGTGAAAGTGGACGACGAGGTGGTGGCCAGGTGAGGGGTGGCGACACGGGGGAGAGGAGGAAGGGAGGGGTCTCTTTCTAGACCTGGGGAATCTGGGACCAAGAATTCACATTTAAAGGAGTGCTTACCCTGAGGGGGACTCGCGGGCCTGCAGGTGGGTGATTTGTGTCCAGCTGGGACTGCCAGCTCCTCTCCCCGACCAGCCCTGCCTTCCCCCTCTGGACCTAATGCTGTCCCTGCTGGCTCCCTGGGGCTGACTCAGCGCTGCCAGCCTGTGCCTCCTACAGTGGCCTCCCTGGGGGCGGGCATCTCACGCTTGGCTGGACTGGTTGGTTCCGGGCCTGCCGGGTGCTGCGGGCACTGGGGATGTCTGTGCGCGTGGGCATGTGCATGTGTGTCTGTGTGTGCACCCGCCCAGCTGGGCCTGCTTGTGAGTTGCAGGGGGTGGGGGATGTTGCGGGGCTAGTGTGAGTGCCTGTGACCACGTGTGTATGTCCTCGTGGCTGTGCAGGGCACAGGCTCACGTGTGTGTACCAGTGTAGGGTGCATGTACATGCACGTGCACATGGCTGCCCTGCACATGCATGTGAACACCAATGCCAGCTGATTTGGTCACAAAGGCACCGGTGTGGACACATGTGAAGGTGTGAGGATGTTTGGGGTGTCAGTGAGTCTCGCAGGGGGATATCAGGCTGCGCCCTGCTTGGCTCCCACCCCCGCAGGCCGAGGGACAGCTCTCAGCCCCTGGAGGCCTGATGGGGGTGGGTGGGCTGGTGGGTGGCTGAGGCCTTGGTTCCTATGGAGACGGCAGGATTCAGGATGCTCCTATTCTGGTCCAGATGGGCTCAGAGCTGGGGGTGGGGAGCCTGCCTGGGGGAGGGGTCAGCTGTAGCTCCCCCCTCCACTGACTCCCCTCCACTGTCCTCCCAGTGCTCATGCTGGCCCCTTGATACATTCCCTGACACCACCCCAAACCCACAGATTGATTTTCTGTGTGACCCCAGGCTGCTGTCTCTCCCTCTCTGGGCTGTAAGAAGCCTTTCAGCTCAGGAGCTGGGGAATGTTCAGAAGACCTTTGGCTGGGAAAAGGTCAGGTTGGGGGAAGAGGGTATTTGGGAGGAAGCACTGGGGGTCCATCTGAGGTTGGTGCCGCTGGGCTGGAGGAAGAAGGCGGGGTGTGTGTGTGTGTGTGCGCGCACGCGCGCATATGTGCACTCTTTCTTAGGGCACAGTGTGGTGAAAGGAGGGAGGAAGGGAGCAACAGGTATGAGAACCAAACTTTGCATCCACAAATGTGGGTGTGTCTTTACCGGGCAAGTAGAATCTGTTCTCTGCTGGGTAAAGGGAAGTACCCCTGCAGGGATGTCAGGGCAGAGATGCTGTGTGTGTGCACCTGTTTCTGGGCTTATCTTGGTCCCCATCCTTCCTGTGCCTTCCTCCTGCTCACTGTGTGCTTCAAAGCCCCGAGTGCTCTGTCCCCTGCTCACCTCCTGTCTCCTGGCCCCTCTCCCTCCCCCATTCCCACCAGGCACCTTCCTATTCCTTCAGCTCACGAAACTCATTCCTGCTACAGGGCCTTTGCCCATGCTGTTCCAGCCTTCTGGAATACTTGTCCTTGTCCTCATTGTCTCTCCCCACTTTGCCTGACTAGCTCCTACAGGAAGCCTTCCCTAATCCCCTCCGACCCTACCCCCACGACCCAACCAGGGGCGATTGAGCTAACCCCAATCCCAGGACTTCTCCCACCATGTCCTAATTGCTGGGAGAGAGCGCCTGCTTGTGGAAGGGGGGTCTGTGGGGTAAGCAGCCCTGACACCTGTTCCTCTGATCCCTGGAGCCCAGCACAGGCTGGGCCCATAGTCCAAGTGAATGTTTATGGAGTAAACGAATGAACAAATGAATGAATGGAATTGTGTGTGTGTGTGTGTGTGTGTGTGTGTGTCAGTGACTGTGTGTTTGTATGACTGTGTGTGTGTCTCTATGTGTACCTGCCTTGTATCATTGTAAGTGTGTGAGAGTGTGTCTCTGGATCTCTGAGTGTGTCTCTGTGTTCCCGACATATGTCTATTTTCATATGTTTTCATATGTGTCTGTTTTCTATGTGTCTATCTGCATGTGTCTGGTGTCTGGATTTCCAAACACAAAGGTACATGTTTTTAGGACTTTCTGAGGGTGCATATGTGTATCTGCTTATGTGTAAATGTGTCTCTGTCTCTGGCCTCCTTGGTGTATCTGTGAGCAACTCTGTCTCAGTGTGAATCCGTGTGTGTGTATCTGCACATATGTTTCTGTTGGTTGCTATGCATGTCTGTTGGTCTCTGTGTATCTGGGACCTTAGATGTGTATTGGGGCCCTGTATGTGGGTGTGTAGGATCATGTGTGTGTTTTGTGTATGTGCCTCTGTGTGTGTGTGTGTGTGTGTGTTGAGATCTCTGGTGTATGTCTGATACTCTGGGTATGTGAGTGTTGGGGTCTGTGTGTGTTTCTATGCCTGGATTCATACATGCTCCAGTGTCCCTGGGTGAGTACATATCTAGGATCTTGGAGTGGCTGTCCTTGGGTGTGTGTGTGTGTCTGGGCCTCTAACTGGGTTCATGTGGGGGGTCTCTGAGTGTGTGTGTGTCTGGATTCCCGTGTGTGTGTGTGTGTGTGTGTGTGTGTGTGTGTGTCTGGGTCTCCAGGTGTCTGCCTCCTGTGTGGCCCGAGGACCCCAGCCCCCTGCACCTCCTTTTGCAGGACAGCTACTGTCTGGAGGAGCCTGGGCCCCTTCTGGGGGGAGGAGTACACGGTGCACCTGCCTCTGGATTTCCACCAGCTGGCCTTCTACGTGCTGGATGAGGACACTGTCGGGTTTGTGGTTGGGGAAAGTGGAATGTGTGGGTTAGGGACCCAAGCCTGGGCACCTGAGGGGAGAGGGGATGTGGGTCCACAGCCCACGAGGGTGTGCCCTCCCACCCAGACCTTGACACCTGCCCCCACTTCTCTTGGGGCGGGGCAAAGGGGCCCCTGACTCAGACCTTCACGTGCCCGCCTTCCTGCAGGCACGACGACATCATCGGCAAGATCTCGCTGAGCAGGGAGGCGATTACAGCCGACCCCCGAGGTGGGCGAGGGACATGGGCAGAGGGAGGAGGGGGCCATGCCCAGGGTGGGCATTTGCAGGGGCATAGCACATGGCACGGTGAAGCACAGAGCCTTCAGTGGAAACTTATTTCTCTTGTTGCTTTTGTCTTTACTTTTTGTTTGCTTTTAATTGTTGTTGTTAGAGATGAGGTCTTGCTCTGTCACCCAGGCTGGAGTGCGGTGGTGCTATCATAGCTCACTGCAATCTTGAACCTCTGGGCTCAAGCGATCCTCCCATCTCAGCTTCTGGAGTAGCTGGGATTACAGGTGCACACCACCACACCCAGCTAATTTTTTCAGAAATATCTTATAGATACGGAGTCTTGCTATGTTGCCCAAGCTGGTCTCAAACTCCTGGGCTCAAGCAATCCTCCCACCTTGGCCTCCCAAAGTGTTGGGAGTACAAGTGTGAGCCACTATGCCCAGCCTTGTCTTTAGTTTTTGAGCAGTTAATTTGTTTGCCTAGTTCAACATTCAGATTTTATGATAAGCACCCCAGCTACTCTGTTCCCTTCCTGGCATTGTCAGCTTCTTGTATGTCCTTCTAGAAATATTTTAAACATATATAAGCAAGTAACAGTAGTAATAGCAGGCTGGGCATTGTGCCTCACACCTGTAATCCCAGCACCTTGGGAGGCAGAGGCAGAGGCAGAGGCAGGAGGATCGCTTGAGCCCAGGAGTCCGTGAGCAGCCTGGACAACATAGGGAGACCCCATTGCTACTAAAAATAATTTAAAAATAATAACAGCAGCAAACATTTATATACTGTATATATAAATATAAACATATAACATATTTATATATAATAAATATAAACATATAACATATTTATATATAATAATTATATATAAATATTATTCTGAACACTAATTCTTTATATTTATGGACTCAGTGATGTAGGTTCATCATAACCCTGAGAGGCAGGTGCTCTAATTATTAATGCCCACTTTATAGGTGAATAAACTGAGGCACAGAAAGTTAAATGACTTGCTCAAGATCACATTATTAAGTGAGGCAGCCAGGATTTGAACCAAAGTTGTCTAGTTCCAGAGTCTATGCCTTTTGTGTGTGTGTGTGTGTGTGTGTGTGTGTGTGTGTGTGTGAGAGAGAGAGACAGTGTCTCATTCTGTCACCCAGGCTGTCGTGAAGTGGTGCAGTCTTGGCTCACTGCAGTCTCAACCTCCCTGGCTCAAGTGATTCTCCCACCTCAACCTCCCAAGTAGCTGGGACTACAGGCGTGCACCACCACACCTGGCTAATTTTTGTATTTCTTGTAGAGGAAGGGTTTCACCATGTGAAATCACGCTGGTCTTGAACTCTTGGCCTCAAGTGATCCACCTGCCTTGGCCTCCCAAAGTGCTGGGATAACGGGTGTGAGCCACTGCACCAAGCCGAGTCTGCGCTCTTAATACTGTGTTTTTCTGTGCTTATACAAATTGCAGCCTTTTACACTCTGCTCTGTATCTTGCCTTTAAAATTTTTTTAATTAATTAATTTATTTATTTTTGAGACGGAGTCTTGCTCTGTCGCCCAGGCTGGAGTGCAATGGCACAATCTCAACTCACTGCAACCTTTGCCTCCCGGGCTCAAGCAATTCTCCTGCCTTGGCCTCCTGAGTAACTGGGATTACAGGGGTCTGCCACCACACCCGGCTAAGTTTTGTATTTTTAGTAGAGATGGGGTTTCACCATGTTGGCCGGGCTGGTCTCGAACTCTTGACTTCGAGTGATCCATCTGCCTTAGCCTCCCAAAGTGCTGGGATTACAGGCATAAGCCACTGCACCCGGCCTGTACCTTGCCTTTTCACTTCACTAAGTATCTCTGAGATCTTCCTATAACAGTGGTCTCAGAGTTTCCGCATTCTTCGTTTGGGATGGCATCGTGGTGCTTCATTGTGTGGCTTTACCATTGTTTATTTGGCTAGTTCCCTACTGATGGCATCTAGGGAGGTCATAGTCTTTCCCTGGTTCAAGCAATGCTACAATAACTAGCCTGTACAAATAAAATTTCACACATATGTAAGTTATATCCATCGGTCAGATAAATTACTAGAGGTGAATTAAAGAGTGCACACATTTGCATACTTGATAGTTGTTGCTAAATTACCCTCCATGGAAGAGGTAGCAGTTCACTCACCCCACACTCTCTCAGTTATCAAACTTTTTGTGATCAATTAGTTGTAAACACCACCGCACTCAGACCAGCCAGTTATCAAACTTTTTGATCGTGTATCTGATAGGTGAAATATTGCCTCAGCATAGGTTTATTTTGCACTTCTCCATGAGCCTTTTTTATATACAGTTTTGAAGAATCACTTTATTTTCTCTTCCATTTATTGTCTACTCATATTATACATGAATTTCCCCCCACTAGGTTGTTTGCCTTTTCTTATTGATTTGTAGGAGCTCTTTACATATTTGGGCAGTTACTTCTTTGTCAAATTAGCTGCAATATTTTTTCTCCATTTGTCTCTTACGTTTTGACTTTGCCTGTAATTTTTTCATGTATAAAATTTCTTTTTCTATATTTAATCTCATATTTTTCTTTTGGTTCTGAATTTTCTGTTAGACCTAAAAAGAACTTCTCAACTCTAAGATTAAGAGAAACATTTTAAAACATAATTCCTTCTAACATTAATGTATTACATACACAAACACACACACATATATGTATATGTATTTTTTTTTTTTTTTTAAGAGACAAGTTCTCACTATGTTGTCCAGGCTGATCTTGAACTCCTGGCCTCAAGCAATCCTCCTGCCTTGGCCCCACAAGGTGCCGGGATTACAGGTGTGAGCCACCATGCCTGGCCATTTATTGCATTAAACAAAAAACACATTTAAGTCTTTGATCTATTTGGAATTTGCCTAGATACAAGGTATGTAGTAAGGATTAAACTTTATTACTTTTTGTCTACATGACTGTTAATTGTCTCAATACCATTTATTGAATAATGCATTATTTCCCTCAGTGGGAATTAGTTGAAAACCTACTATGTGCTGATCATCATTATAATCCTATTTCATGAGGGCCTACTATATGCCAGGCATGGTGCTAAGCGCTTTACTTCTCAACACACCAGTGAAGTGTCCACCAGAATGATCTCCAATATACAGAGGCATAGAGAGGGGAGGTGACTTCCCCCTTCTAGAAGGTTCAGAAATCAGAGTCCAACCCAAGTTTTGTCGGCCTCCAAAATCTGTGCTCTTAATCTGCCCACTGAGCTGTACCCAGTGTACCTCAAACATCCTCCCAGGGCAGTGAAATTAAATGAGTGAAGTTTGAGGCCTGGCTTGCAGGAACTTGTGGACTTGGATAGGAAAACAGAACACATTCCCACAGAACAGGCAGCAAGAAAAGAAGGAACGTGTCCATGTGTCTGCAAGCATGTGGCGGAAATGTGGAGGCTGCAGTGGAGATAGAGAGATGTGAGATGAGACTTCTACTTTCAGCAGCTGGCGGGACTCAATCCTCAAAAGCACTCTCCTGCTATACAACAGTGAGATCCTGGATTAAATAGGGTTCCTAATACATTGTTGGACTTGTGGTAACTTTTTTTTTTTTTTTTTTTTTTGAGACAGAGTCTCGCTCTATCACCCAGGCTGGAGTGTAGTGGCATGATCTCAGATCACTGCAACCTCCGCCTTCCAGTTTCAAGCGATTCTCATGCCTCAGCCTCTGGAGTAGCTGGGATTGCAGGCATGCACCACCATGCCTAACTTTTTTTGTATTTTCATAGAGACAGGGTTTTGCCATGTTGGCCAGGCTGGTCTCAAACTCCTGACCTCAGGTGATCAGCTCACCTTGGCTTCCCAAACTTTTGGGATTACAGGTGTGAACCACCATGCCAGGCCAAACTTCTTTATAGAACGGGAAATCCCTCAGTATTTTTTCCATCTCAAGTCATGAGACTGGGTGGAATAGCTCACGTGTGTAATCCCAGAACTTTGGGAGGCCGAGGCTGGCGGATCAGTTGAGGTCAGGAGTTCGAGACCAGCCTGGCCAACATGGTGAAAACCCACTCTACTGAAAATACAAAAATTAGATGGGCATGGTGGCAGGTGCCTGTAATCCTTGCTATTCGAGAGACTGAGACATGAGAATTGCTTGAACCTGGGAGGTGGAGTTTGCAGTGAGCCAAGATTGCACCATTGCACTCCAGCCTGGGTGACAGAGTGAGACTCCATCTCAAACAAAAACAAAAACCATTAGCTAAAACCTAACAGTGAATGGTAAACAAAAAGCAAGGAGACCATGAAGGATTTCCCTGAAAGCAGACGTCAGTATCAATTCTACACTCAACAAAGAGACTAAAACTTGGACAAGGGGCAGGGTGGATGTTACTCAACATGAGAATTCTCCATTAGGCTGAGACCCTCAAGGGGTCCCAGAATAACCAACTCCTGCTCCTCTCTAGGGATAAGCATGTTCACTTAGGTTTCCCAGAGTAAGATCAAACAAACATGACTTCACAATCAAAGATCAGCAAACACACAAGGAAATGAGACACCATGGGCAATAGTCAGCAGAAACAATAATCATCTGATTTAGACCCACAAAGACTTTAGATTCTGTAATTATAATATACGGGATTTTTAAAAAGAATCAGATTTAAAGAAATAAAAGATGTAATCACAAGAAAGGTCTGCAATAACAGCAATAAATTACAAGTAATTACGCAGACAGATTTTAGAAAAGCACCAAATAAAACTTTTAGAGGTAAGTATAATTGTCAAAATAAAAAATGGAGTGGTTGAGTGAAACATCAGATTATTCATAGTTAAAGGGAGATTTAGTGAACTGGAAGAAAGGTCTAGAGAAATTATTCAGAATTAGTTTCAGAGGAAAAGGAGAAAAAATAAAATAGAAATTCAGAGACATGGAAAATAACTGTGGAGGTTTAACATTTATTTAATTGGAGTTCCAGAAGGATAGAATTTTAAAAATTAGAGACAGGCAAAAATTATAACAAAAATTGGGAAGAGGAAATAATTTTAAAAAATCAATCATCTAGAATTTTGCAGAAATAAAGGAAGGATATGATTCCATAAATAGAAGCAGTGCAATCTCTACTCAGCAGGATTTTAAAAAATCTGTATCTAGACACATTGTGATGAAACTGCAGTGCATCAGAGACATAGTCCTTAGAATTATAATAGATAGAAAAGCCTGGGCATAGTGGCTCCTGCCTGTAATCCCAGAACTTTGGGAGGCCAAGGCAGGCAGATGGCTTGAGTTCAGGAGTTCGAGACCAGCCTGGGCAACATGGCAAAACCTCGTCTCTACAAAAAACACAAAAAATTAGCTAGCTGTGGTGGTATACATCTGTAGTCCAAGTTACTGGGGAGGCTGAGGCAGGAGGATCGCTTAAGCCTGGGAGGCTGAGGCTGCAGTGAGCTGAGATTGTGCCACGGCACTCCAGCCTGGTGATGGAAAGCTAGAATTCAGTGGAACAATATCTTCAAAGTGTTGAGAGAAATACAGAGGGGAGAAATGTCCAAGATTTTTTTGAGGGGAGAGTATGTTGGGATTACATGATGAAGTTCTTTCTATACCAGGGGGAAGTGTGTGATGGCACATGGCTACGAGCATTGGCCCTAGAACTAACTATACTGCCTGCATTCAAATTCCAGCTCTGCCATTTGCTAGCTGTGAGACCATGGACAAAACTCTTTCTCCTTGTGCCTCATTTTCCTCATCTGAAAATGGGGATAATTACAGCACCTATATCAGAAGCCAGGGTCTTGACACATTTTTAATTTTAATTGAGGCAGGACATAGTGGCTCATGCCTGTAATCCCAGCATTTTGGGAGGCCAAGGTGGGTGGATCGCTTGATCTCAGGAGTTTGAGACCAGCCTGGGCAACATAATGAAACCCCATCTTTACAGAACAACACAAAAATTATCCAGGCATGGTGGTGCACGCCTAAAGTCCCAGCTGGTCGGGAGGGTGAGGCAGGAGAATCGCTTGAGCCCAGGAGGCAGAGGTTGCAGTGAGCCAAAATTGTGCCACTGCACTCCAGCCTGGGCAACAGAACCAGACCCTGTGTCAAAAAAAAAAAAATGAAAATAATGTTAATTGAATTTTTAAGTTAACACAATGCCCAGTACATGGTAGGCGCTTCATAAATGTTAGTGCCTGTGCCCTTCAGGGATTGACAGCTGGATTAACTTGAGCCGAGTGGACCCAGATGCAGAAGTGCAGGGTGAGATCTGCCTGTCAGTGCAGATGCTGGAGGATGGGCAGGGCCGCTGCCTTCGCTGCCATGTGCTTCAGGCCAGGTATGCTTAAGGTGGAGGTGGTGTGGAGGGTGGTCTGAGAATGAGCAGGAGTCCCCTGGGTCTCCCCTGCTGCCTGGCGTTTGGGACCTCCTCAGTCCTGGGGCACTTCTGGGCTGGCAGTCAGGTTCCCTGTGTGGACAAACAGTCCAAGCTCACTGGGTTGTAAGTTCCTGGGGGCAAAATCCTGTTGAGTCCCCAGGGACTAGCAGCAACAGACCAGACACTCAGGATGACAGGTGACAGGTGAGTGTGGAGGTGTAGTCATTAAATTGTAACTGACAAATACCCAACTCATACTGGCTTAAGCAAAAGAGCTACTTTATTGGCTTATATGACTGACATGTAGCTTCAGGCATGGCTGGGTCCAGGTGTTCAAACGATGCCATTAGGAATCTGTCTTTTAGCTCTGCTGGTCTCTGTGTTAGCTTCATTCTTAGGCAGACTCTCCCCAGGTGAGAGATGGCCCTAGCAACTCCAGGCGGGCACCCTGCCAGCTTAGCCACTCCAACAGAAAAATCACTTCTATTTCCTACCATTTCCAACCAATGTCCTGGGATTAATTTTTACTGGCTCAAGCTGGGGCACATGTCTATCTCTGAACCAATTACACTGAATAATGGATCAGGCCTGAGTCACAAGCCCATTACTGGAGCGGAGGGAGGGATTGGACCCCACTAAGTCATGTGAGAGGGGGGTGGTGAGAAGGAGATAGGTCCTGTCCCAAAGAAAAATCAGATGGAAGATGGATGCAAGACCAGGAAAACCCACAGGTGGCCCTCTAGGGGCACCAGCTCATGGGACACCCATCTTCCCTCTTGCCTACTTGTCATGGCCATCCCTTTTTCCCTTCCTCAGCTCTCTGTCATTTTGCTCCCTCAAATACCTCCACCCTTCCCCCACTCCTCTCTCATCCTGTTTTTCTGCCTGTTTTTCACCTCCCCAGCTCTCATTTTTAGGAAAATCCCTGCCCAGATTGGGGAGGACCTCCAATTTCCAGCTTGCTGTGTGACCATAAAGCCCTTCCTTGCCCTCTCTGAGCCTCTCCCACCGCCTCCAGATTTTTGCTTCCAGCCTTGGCCTCAGCTGGGGCTTCCTAGAGTCTGGTTGAGGGAGAACCAGGGAGGCAGGTGACAGGCTGAGGGACTCAGCAGGGGGCAGAGGCTCCTGGTCTTCCTTGAGCCCATGGCCCCTTCCTCAGCCACAAGGCTGTGCAGGATCCTTGCAGGCATGAGAGGGACTGATTGCTGTCGCTTAGCAACTGGGCCAGCTCCTAGGAAACCGAAGAAGGCTTTGGATGCTAAGCAGGGGTGGGAAGGGAGCAGGAGGAAGAAGGAAGCAGCCCCTGGTGTGGGGGTGGGGTGGTGGTGTGTTCCTGGGTTTGGAGAACGTCAAGAAGGAGGGATGGGGAAGCTGCCTGGAGTAAGACTTTTGGGTTGTCATGGCAACCAATGGCAAGGAGTCCCTGCCTCATGCTTTCTCTTGGGTCCTAGACAAGGTGTGGGCATGGGTGTTTGTTGAATGAATAAATGAACCAAGCACCCATCACCTGCCAGGTGCTATGCTTGGCCCTTTACACACATCATCCAATCTAACCCTCGGCTCTATGAGGTTGGTCTGTTATTACTCCCATTTTCCAGGTAAGGAAATGAAGACTTAGAGAGGGGAAGTGACTTTCCCTAGTGTCCGCTAGCCAATGAGTGCAAAGCCAGGCTTTGAACCTTTGCATCAAGTTTCCCATCTGGGGCCTCCAGAGAATCTGAGGCTCTCTTTTCCCCCTCCCTGCTGCACTTCTACTTGCTGGGCTTTGTGATGTAGGATATGACCTTTTGGTGCCTCAGTTTCCTCATCTGAAAAATAGGGATATACAAGTGCCTCCCCATAGGGTGGTGACAGGAAGATACTGGGTTTGGACGGTCATGGTTAGGGGTGTCCCTAGCTGGACCCCTACATGGAACAGTTTGTTGCCTTGGAAACCAGCGACATTGGAATGATCTACTCTTAACAGCCTTTCCAAGGCCCAACTTGGGTGCCGTGTTTCCTCACTCCTTTCCCCATCTGTTCCCAGGGACCTGGCTCCCAGAGACATCTCTGGCACATCTGACCCATTTGCACGTGTGTTTTGGGGCAGCCAGAGCTTGGAGACCTCAGTGAGTGGTGGGGAATGAAGCCAGGAAGGAGTGGGGCATTTGGTGGTGGGGCAGGAGTCCCCATCAGCTCTCCCACTCACAGACCACTTCCTTCGCCCTCAGACCATCAAGAAGACTCGCTTCCCGCACTGGGATGAAGTGCTGGAGCTGCGGGAGATGCCAGGTGCCCCGTCCCCACTGCGGGTGGAGCTCTGGGACTGGGACATGGTGGGCAAGAATGACTTCTTGGGCATGGTGAGCCTCATTCCCTACAATACCCTCCATGGCTCCCCAGTGCCTCCAAGGGGGAAGAAAGATGAGACGGGCTGAGCCTCCTGGCTCTCAGAAGGGTGGATGTACAGCTGCCTCATCAGGTTCCCCTGGTTAGGCCTGAGTGTTGCAGTTTCATTGCTCTGTTGTACAGGTGAGGAAACTGAGGCTGTCAAAGGTACAGGAACCTATCCAAGATCACAGGACGGGCCCAGATTCTCATTCTGGGATGAGAGCATGACAGATGACTATGTGCTGGCCCTGTGCTGAGTGTCCCTCCCACAGAGCCTCATTACTTAACCTTCATGGCTACCCTATGAGGCTGGGACTGTTGCTATCCGCATTTTACAGATGGGGACATTGAGGCTCAGAGAGGCTAAGTGGCTTTTTCAAGGTCATATGGCTAAGAAAGGGCAGAGCCAGGATCTGAGTTCAGATCTCTTTGACTCCAGACTTAACGCCCTTAACTCCTACTCCTGGAAGTCCTGGGCTCAGGTTCTTTCTCTTGGTTTCCCTGTCTTTGGAGACAGCCTGGCATTTCCTCAAATAGTTAAAGATAGAGTTACTCTATGACCTAGCAATTCCACTCTTAGGTACATACCCCAAAGAAATGAAAACTTATCTTCACACAAAAACTCTGACATTACTGTTCATAGCAGCATTAGTCATAACAGCCCAAAATGGAAAAAAACTCAAGTGTCCATTATAGATAAACAAAATGTGGTCTATCGATACAATGGAATATTATTCAGCCATAAAAAGGAATGAAGTACAGTAAGTCCTCATTTAATGTCATCCATAGGTTCTTGGAAACTGCAGCCTTAAGCAAAATGACATACTGTATGCTGTAGGAACTTAACTCTTGTTTATTTTTTTTATTTTTATTTTTTAGAAGGAATCTCCCTCTATTGCCCAGGCTGGAGTGCAGTGGCATGAACTCAGCTCACTGCAACCTCCACCTCCTGGGTTCAAGGAATTATTTTGCCTCAGTCTCCCAAGTAGCTGGGGTTACAGGTGAACACCACTACATCTGAGTAATTTTTGTATTTTTAATAGAGACAGGGTTTCATCATGTTGGTCAGGCTGGTCTTGAACTCCTGACCTCAAGTGATCTGCCCGCCTCATCCTCCCAAAGTGCTGGGATTACAGGCATGAGCTACCCACCCAGCCTTCATTCTTGTTTATAGTAATTAGCTCATGGTACATTTGATTTCCTTATACGTTATGAGTCAGGACTTACCGTACTGGCACGTGGATGAACCATTACACTAAGTGGAAAAAGCCAGCCCCTGCAAAACACATATGATTCCATTTATACGAAATGTCTAGAATAGGCAAATCTACCGACACAGAAAATAGATTCGTGGTTGTCAGGGGCTGGGGGGCACGAAGTGACTGGTAATGAGTGCAGGCTCTTTAGGGCTCATAGACAATGTTCTGGAATCAGCGGCACAACTAATTGCGGTAAGTCTGTGAATATACTAAAAATCATTGAATTGTACACTTTTAAAAGGTGAATTGTTTAGGATGTGAATTACGTCTCTATAAAGTTATTTAAAAAGAGAGAGAGTGTGGGGCTTGGGTCCCTCCAGGGCTGTCCTTATGCCTTTTGATAGAAGAAATTTATGTCCCTAAACAGAGCTGAAAATACACTCAGTCCAGACATGCTATCTCTAGCAGCTGTGTGACCTTGGGCAAATCACTCCACATCGCTGAGCCTCAGTTTCCTCAACTGTAAATTAAGTGTCCCTGGTAGGCCCTCAGAAGCCCTCAGTGTCCTGGCAGGAGCTAATAATTTGGGACTTGTAGGAGAGAAGGAGGGGTCCCCTGGCAGGCCATTCTGCCCCTCTGTGGGTGGGCAGTCTGTTCTTCCAGGGCTAGGTGAGACCTGAGCCAGGCAGGGCAGGGCAGGCCAGGGCCCGGCTGAGGGTCTGTGTGTCTCTCTCAAAAGGTGGAGTTCTCTCCAAAGACCCTCCAGCAGAAGCCACCTAAAGGCTGGTTCCGCCTCCTGCCCTTTCCCAGAGCCGAGGAGGATTCTGGGTAAATGTGGGTGCAGAGGGAGGGGGCCAGGCTGGAGCCATGCCGGGCAGCATCCACAGCTTGCGGGCAGAGCCCATGCCAGCCCACACATTATCACTATGCCACTTCATGCATTCATCCATTTAACAACTGTCTATGGAATGTCTCTCAAGGTGTTTACATAAATCCACATAAGTTCACTTTACACCCGTTCACCTGTTCATGTGCAAACATGTTGGTTCACACTTGATGTATATTTAGAACTTTGGGTCCTTCCACACCTCTCCATACTGTTCATTCTTGAACACACTTGTTTATACCATCTCCACTTGCCTGTCCTGTTTATACCCATCAATATCATTTCACACCTGTTTATACTGGCCGCACCTATACACACCTGTCCATGCTTGTTCACACTGTCAACAATCATCTACACTTGTCCACACATCCTGTACATATTTGTGTACACTGGCCACATCTATCCACTCTGGCCACACCTGCCTGTTTATGTTGTTTGTATACATTCCTATTTATGCCTGTTCACAGCTGCCTACCCCTGTTCATACCTGTCCACACTTGTCTATACCTGCCTACACCTGTCTTGTTTTGCAAACACCTGCCCTCCTCCCATGTGTTCCCATTGGCCTCTCTTGGCTCTCCACACCTGCCCATGCGCACTTGTGCTCTTCCATAAGGGCATCTTTCATTTTCTTTTCCTTCTTTCTTTTTTTTTTTAGACAGAGTATCGCTCTGTCACGCAGGCTGGAGTGCAGCGGCACAATCTTAACCTCTGCCTGCCAGGTTCAAGCAATTCTCCTGCCTCAGCCTCCTGAGTAGCTGGGACTACAGGCGTGTGTCATCACGCCCGGCTAATTTTTGTATTTTTAGTAGAGATGGGGCTTCACCATGTTGGTCAGGCTGGTCACAAACTGCTGACCTCAAGTGATCTGCCCACCTTGGCCTCCCAAAATGCTGGGATTACAGGCGTGAGCCATCGTGTTCGGCCAGATCTTTCATTTTCTTATGATCTGATCCTGGACAGGGGGAACCTGGGTGCCCTGCGAGTGAAGGTACGCCTGATTGAGGACCGCGTCCTGCCCTCCCAGTGCTACCAGCCTCTCATGGAGCTGCTCATGGAGTCTGTGCAGGGGCCAGCAGAGGTGGGTGCGTCAGGCAAGCAATGCTATCAGGCGGGTGCCGGGGGTCTGGATCCTGGCCTCCCCCTGCCTCACGGAGCCCTATCTAGGCCCATCTGCTTTGGGGTCCCAGGGGCCGAGGTCATCTTTGTCTCCCGCCCCCACCCAGGAGGACACTGCTAGCCCCTTGGCTTTGCTGGAAGAGCTGACCTTGGGGGACTGCCGCCAGGACCTTGCCACCAAGCTGGTGAAACTCTTTCTTGGCCGGGGACTGGCTGGGCGCTTTCTGGACTATCTCACCCGGCGTGAGGTGGCTCGGACCAGTGAGTTGCCCGCACAACCCCCGACATCACCGCCCTCAATGGTGGGCTTGCAGGAGGGTCCTGGGGGAGGAATGGGGAGGCCTCAGGCAGAGGGAAAAAGGGCTCCTTTTTCTGTGGGTCCCTGTGCTGTGCACCTCCAGACAGTTGGGAGCCCAATTGCAGGTTCAGGCCCTGGCTTTGCTACTTGTGGGCTGTGTGACCTCAGGCAATTCACTTAACCACTCCGGGCCTCTGTACTGTGAATGGGGTTGATGTTTTGGGTCTTCCTGATTCTTGGGGCTGGAAGAATCATGACTCCCACCTTGGGTGAGTGGGGTGAGCTGGGTTCAGCTCCCTAAATCCCAGCAAACACTTCCTCCTGTCCTCCCAGTGGACCCCAACACCCTCTTCCGTTCTAACTCCCTGGCATCCAAGTCGATGGAACAGTTTATGAAGGTGAGTAGGTGAAGGCCTGCGGGACCAGGCGCAGCTTCCTCGGGTACCTCCTTCCCAGTGCCTACCTGGCTCCCTCACTTAGCTGGCTTCAGACAGCACTGAGCAGCCGAGCTGCAGTGCTGGCGGCTGGTGCCCGGCCTTGCCCTGAGTTGCACCTGGATGTGTCCCCTACCCCAGCCCTGGCCTCTCTCTGAACCTCTTCCTGCATGGTCCCCCCTGCGCCCAGCTCATGGGCATGCCCCGGCCTCGCCCTCAGCCCCACCCCGTGTGGTGCCCCCTGCCCCCAGCTCGTGGGCATGCCCTACCTGCACGAGGTCCTGAAGCCTGTGATTAGCCGTGTCTTTGAGGAGAAGAAGTACATGGAGCTGGATCCCTGCAAGATGGACCTGGGCCGCACCCGGTGAGCAAAGCCTGAGGACCCTGACCTTCCGACGGGCCCCTTTGGCTACCCGGAGCCTTGTCTGGGGGCTGGGTTCATGCTGACTGCCACCCACCCTGGGGCTACAGCTGCTCAGGAGCTCGGTGGCTGAGCTGAAAGCCTCACACACAAGCCCTTAAACCATCAGGCTGTGTAGTATAGGGGTTATGGTCAGGACTCTGATGCTAAGCGCCCTGGGTTCAAATCTTAGCTTTGCCACTACTGGTGGACAAAGTTGCCAAAACTTCTGTTCCTCAGTGGTTAAGTTGCTTCTTTTCTTTTCCTTTTTTTCTTTTTTTTTTTTTTTTGAGACAAGGTTTTACTCTGTCACCCAGGCTGGGGTGCAGTGGTGTGACCACAGCTCACTGCAGCGTCAACTTCCCGGGCTCAGGTAATTTTTCCACCTCAGCCTCCTGAGTAGCTGGGACTATAGGCGCACACCACCATGCCCAGCTAAGTTTTTACATTTTTAGCAGAGACAGGGTTTTGCCACATTGCCCAGGCTGGTCTCGAACTCCTGGGCTCAAGCAATCCTCCTGCCTTGGTCTCCCGAAGTGCTGGGATTACAGGCGTGAACAACCGTGCCTGGCATAATCAGATTTTTTAAAATTAAAAAACCTAAAATATTGATCCAATGTTCTTCTACTTAATGCACACACTACTTCTAAAATGTCCCTTATCCAGCTGGTGAGAATATTATCACCTGAAACGTGGGGCTCATGACCTCTGCTCCGTTAACTGAGTCATGCATGTGCTCCACAAGCATTAGTGATCTTTATTACTGTGCTGCTGGGGCTCCTCGACATTAGTGATATTTACTGCTGTGCTGCTGGGGGTCCCCAACATTAGCGATTTTTATTATTGTGGTGTTGGCGGTCTCTGAGTGGGCCTGCCTGCAAGGGAGATCGTGGAGAGCTCAATGAGATTGGGAGGAAGCAGAGCAGTGGCTGGGGGTCATTCCACCCCTCCGTGGGCTCCTCCTTTCTCTCCAGAACCTTCTCCTGTCTAACCCACAAGCCTGGAGCTGTGGAAAATTGTTGCTGGGGTATCCACTGGGGACCGTGGCAGAGACAGGAGAGGATCTTTCCTTGTGCTGTCCACACCTTCTGACTACTTTAGAGGCAGGCATCATGACCCCCTCTTACTGATGATGCAACTGAGCCTCAGAGAGGGAAGGTCACTTGCCTAAGGTCATACAGCCAGGAAATTACAGAGCAAGGATTTGATCCCAGGCCCTGAGCAGAAGGACACAGTCCATCTGTGAGACTCCAAGTTGAGGGCTTTTCCTAGCACACTTGATAACGATGGAGGAAACTCAGTGGGCACCCATGGGGACAGGGGCATGTAGGGACCTGGACAGGGCAGGGTTGCAGGCAGGCTGTGGAGTTGGCAGTCCTGGGTTCTATTCTCAGCTGTGCCATCTCCCCAGTAACCTCTCTGAGCCTCAGTTTTCTTATCTGTTAAACGGGAACAAGTAAGGCTACTTACCCCATCAAGTTGCTGTTAGGATTAAAAGAGACCATGCCAGAGACAAGTCCAGGGCTCAGCACGTTGGGTCCAGGACACAGTGGGGCTGAGAACCCCCAGCTGTCACTCTAGGTGTGGGCAAGACAGACCCTCAATCTGTAAAGAAAGAAAGGAACACAATAATTGCAGATGGAAAAGTGCTGTTCTAGCATCCACAAAACAAAACAATGATTGAGTGCCAGGCTCTGGGCTGAACACTGACGATACAGTAGGGAACAAATAGTCCCAAGTCCCTATTCTGGGGGGAGACAGATAATGAGCAACTGGAGGAAGAAGGTTTATTTATTTATTTATTTATTTTTTGAGATGGAGTCTCGCTGTGTCACCCAGGCTGCAGTGCAGTGGTGCGATCTCGACTCACTGCAACCTCCACTTCCCATATTGAAGCGATTCTCCTGCCTCAGCATCCCAAGTAGCTGAGATTATAGGCGTGCACCACCACGCTGGGCTAATTTTTGTATTTTTTGGTGGAGATGGAGTTTCACCATGTTGGCCAGGCTGGTCTTGAACTCCTGGTCTCAAGTGACCTGCCCCCTCGGCCTCCCAGAGTGCTGGGATTACAGGCATGAGCCACCGGGCCTGGTTGGGAAAAGGTTATTGAATGGGACCAGGGAATGGAATAAACGAGGGAGGGGAGAGGCCTGCAATATTCCAGAGGGTGAGGACAGGGGCAGCCTCGCAGGGGAGGGGACATCTAAGCAAAGACTTGCAGGGGGTGAGGAAGGGAGTGTTGCGGAGATTTAACATTTAACGGGAGAGTGTTCTGGGCACGGAGATAAGCCAGTGCAAAGGCTGCAGGATGGGAATGAGCTCATCGTGTTTAAGCAACAGCAAGAAACCCGGTGGGAAGGGGCAGGAAGGAGGCTGCGGACGTGGAGGGAAGATGAGTCCTCTCGGAGCTCAGCGGGGCCGGTGGAGGGTTTGGAGCAGGCAGATGTTGTGCCCCGAGGCTGAGCTGCTCCGCCGGCCCCTCCAGGAGGATCTCCTTCAAAGGCGCACTCTCGGAGGAGCAGATGCGGGAGACCAGCCTGGGGCTGCTGACGGGCTACCTGGGGCCCATCGTGGACGCCATCGTGGGCTCCGTGGGGCGCTGCCCGCCCGCCATGCGCCTCGCCTTCAAGCAGCTGCACCGGCGAGTGGAGGAGCGCTTCCCCCAGGCCGAGCACCAGGTGCGCCAGGATGGGAGGCTGAGGCTGGGGACAGGCCGGAGCTTGTCCGGGGTCACTCGGAGGAGTCAGGACAGAACTGTGACCAGAACCTAGGCTGCCGGCACTAGAGCATTCTGTCCTGGCAGAAGTGGGGACAGCGTTCCTGGCAGGGTCCGGGTCCCAAGAATGATAGTAATAATAAAAATAGGCCGGGCGCAGTGGCTCACGCCTGTAATCCCAGCACTTTGGGAGGCCGAGGAGGGTGGATCACTTTCAAGTGAAGTGAGGAGTTCGAGACCAGCCTGGCCAACATGATGAAACCCTGTCTCTACTAAAAATACAAAAATTAACTGGGCATGGTGGCTCACACCTGTAATCCCAGCTACTCCGGAGGCTGAGTCAGGAGAATCGCTTGAAGCCAGGAGACAGAGGTTGCAGTGAGCCGAGATTGCGCCACTGCACTCCAGACTGGGTGACAGAGATAGACTCTGTCTCAAAATAAACAAATAAATACCAATAATAAATATAATAATGGCAGCTAACACTCTATGTAGCCTGACCATGGTCCATATCTTGTTTTAGGTGATTTATGTATTTATTACCCTATCTAACCATCACACGCAGCCTGTGAGGTGGATACCAGGATTATTCCCATTTTACGGAGGAGGAAACTGAGGCCCAGAGAGCTTAAGTCACACAGGTAGAAAGGAGTGATATTGGGACTGGCACTCACCCAGGCAGGCTGGCTCCTGAGTCTGTGCTCATAACCAGCAAATAATAGAGTCTGGCACAAAGTAAGTGCTTCTTGAAATTCCAGATGTAAAATAGAGAGAGAGAGAGGAAGTAAGAGAGAAGAACGCAGATCTGGCATACAGTAAGTGCTCAGAAACACCCAGAATAAAGTCTAAAAATGAATCCCTGCAGGTGTAGTGCTATACCAACATGGATAGAAAAGTTGAAAACTCAGATGCTGTGAGTTTCAGGCAGACGAGGCGCAAGAACAAAGCAAGCAGCGCGTGGGGTGGTAGGGAGACATGAAGACTGTGGCCAACTGAAGCCCCCAGATCTTGTCTAAAGGGGGCAGCTCCAGGGGATCACTGCCATATAGGAATGGAAGCCCAGTACTGCCAGATCTTTAGAGATTCTGGATTTTATGTGAGGTTATTTATTTATTTACTTATTACTAACTTTTGAGACGGGGTCTTGCTCTGTTGCTCAGGCTGGAGTGCAGTGGCACAATCATAGCTCACTGCAGCCTCTATCCCAGGCTTGAGTGATCTTCCCACCTCAGCCTCCCGAGTTGCTGGGACTAGAGGGGTGCACCACCACACCCAGCTAATTATTTATTTTTCTAGAGACAGGGTCTCACTGTGTTGCCCAGAGGGTCTCGAACTCCTAGCCTCAAGCAGTCCCCTTGCCTCAGCCTCCCAAAGTGCTGGGACTACAGGCGTGAACCACCGCGCCCGGCCTGATCTCTTATTTTTAAAATGTCAGCATGAATTCACCTGAAAACCAAACACACAAAAACACTTTGGGTCATGCATTACAAAACATTTGTGGTTGGACTGGCCAGTTTGGGACCCCCTGGTTGAATGCTCAGCACACCTCCCGAGGTGGCTGTCATTGTCCTCACTTGCAGATAACATCAGGTGAGATGAACTCTTACGTAGTGCTGATGTATCAGACCAGGATTCACTTTGCAGAAAGACCTAAGACCTGTTACATTTTGGCAATGTCGTAACCCACTTCCTACAGCCTCATTTGAGAGCTTTTGATTTATGCCACATCTCTCTCCACTTCCTGTTTACAGATGGGGAAACTGAGGCCCAGAGAGGCAAAACACTTGGCCAAGGGTTTTCTAGACTCCCAGCTGGGGTCTCTCCCCTCCTCCCCCTCCTCCCCAGCTGAGGAGTAAGCTCTGGGCCTTGAGACTGGGATGTAGCTTGGCTTACACCTCACCTTGCTGGGCTCTCACCTGGGCTGCCAGCAGAGGTGTTAAGTGGGGCACAGCTGTGGCAGGGAACAGGGAAGAAAGGGAGGAGGCCAGCTCCCCAGACAGCCTAGACCTCGTATGGTGAGCCAATATCAGTGACACCCAAGTGTCCTCTAGTTCTCAGCCCCCAAGGTGGCCCTGGAGCAGGGACTTCCTCCGGCCCGGGGAACCCAGGGAAGCCCCTTTCTCTGCTGCACTGACACCGGTTCTTTGCCTTCAAAAAGGAGGAAACAAATGAGCTGATGTGAAGACTGAAATTACCCTGGACTACAGATGGCAGTGGGGTAGTGGTGGGACAGTTCAGGGCTCCAGATGGAGGGGGACAGTTCAGGGCTCCAGATGGAGGGGAAGATGCTCCCTCTGGGCAGTTCTAGGTACCCAGCTCCTACAGGGGTCACTGCCAAGGCCAAGATGCCCCAGGAAGGTGGCACACGCCCCGGGGAGGGCATTGTTTCATGTGTGACTACAACCTCTGAATAAACACAGGCGCAGACTCTCAGGCTAAATATAGCCTGGCAAGTGTGAGAGGTGGGTGGGGAGCTGGTTTGGGGGGAGCAAGATGCACCCAGGATGGAGGGGCACCCTTCCCTGAGTCACCTCTGCTGGTGCTGGGGAACCAGCGTTACCTTTAGATGGGCCAGGCCCCGGATTCACATGGAGGGGAACCATACTCTACAGTTTGTAGAGGGCAGAGGTTGGAGGTGGGGAGGTGCACACAGGATGGACTCTGGAGCCCATCAGACTGGGTTCACTACTGAGCCTCAGTTTCCTCATCTGAAAAAATGGGATAATAGCACTTACCTACCCACATGGAGTTGTTTGAGGACTAAATGTGATAGTTCAGGCTTGGTTTCTAATACTTAGTGAGGGCTCCTTGGTAGCTGGTGTTGAATGGCAGGAGAGTGTGGTGAAGAACAGAGAGTTCAAATCCTTGGCTGGGCGAGGTGGCTTATGCCTGTAATCCTAGGACTTTGGGAGGCTGAGGCGGCTGGATCACTTGAGATTAGGAGTTCAAGACCAGCCTGGCCAACATGGTAAAACCCCATCTCTACTAAAAAAAAAAAAAAAAACACACACAAAAAAACCTAAAAACAAAAAAAGCAAAACAAAAACTGGCCAGGTGTGGTGGCATATGCCTGTAATCCCAGCTACTTGGGAGGCTGAGGCACTAGAATCACTTGAAACTGGGAGGTGGAGGTTGCAGTAAGCAGAGATCGTGCCACTGCACTCCAGCCTGAACAACAGAGCAAGACTCTGCCTCAAAAAAAAAAAAAAAGAAAGAAAAAAAAAAGAAAAATAATCAAATCCTGCCTAAGTCCAACTCCTGGCTCTGCCGCTTATGGCTGTGCAGACTTAGGCAAGGGACTTTCCCTTGCTGGGCCTCAGTTGCCTCCTCTGTAAAATGGAGATGTGATCCTTCCTGGGTTGAGTATTAAATAAGCGAATGTATAGAGAGGTATCCATCCTGCTGCTGTTATTATCATAAATCACAGGTCTGGGTTTGAATCCTGACTTTGCCACTCATTAGCTGTGTGACCCTGGGCAAATCGCTTGATGTCTCTGAGCTTCTGCTTCCTCATCTGTAAAATGGGACTCATGATGGTGCCTCCCTCTTAGGGCTGTGCTCTTGGCATAGTGCTTGGCACAAAGCCAACTCTGAGGACATTTGGCCAAATCTGCTTTTGTAGGATTGGTTTTGTTATTCCATTTTCCAGGTGAGAAAACTGAGGCCCAGAGAGGAAAAACTTCCTCGGCCAGCCGGTGTGGCTTCCTGGTCAATTCCCCATCCTACTTCTCTTTGCACCACGAATTTCTAGTCCTTGCTGCCTCAGTTTACGCAGCTGAGAAGTGGGTTTGGGGGGCTCCTCTTACCTTCTGCTCCTCCCAGCAGGATGTGAAGTACCTGGCCATCAGTGGATTTCTCTTCTTGCGATTCTTCGCACCTGCCATCCTTACCCCAAAGCTGTTTGACCTTCGGGACCAACACGCGGACCCCCAGACTAGCCGCTCACTGCTGTTGCTTGCCAAGGTGCCAGCCATGGGTTTCCCCCATCCTAGGTACTTTAGCCAGGGAAAAAAGCATGGTAGGAGCAGAGCTGGGAGGCCAGACCCACAGAAGACCCAAAGAACATCCGAAGAAACCCAAGTCTGAAACACCACCGTTAGCATTCCATCCCAAGGGTGAAGGCAGTCATCATGCACTCCAATTTCCCCTTTGGGAATGAAAACCCAACCCTTCCAGAAGGAAAGTGGAAAACAGGCTAGCAGGCATTCACACCTTAGTATGAATTAGATCATCATTTGCAAAGGGCAACAACTTGAGATTCTGCATGAGAGTACCATGGTAGGACTGAGCAGTTCTTGGGGAGGATCTGGGCTCGGGAGGGAACAGAATAAGGTTAGTGGGGAGTGCAGATTCCAAAAAGAGGAAGGGGAAACAGACATCACCCAAGGAAGGTGTTGAGTCTTCTTATTGATTTATTTTTTTCCTTGAGACAAGTCTCGCTCTGTCACCCAGGCTGGAGTGCAGTGGCACGATCTTGGCTTACTGCAACCTCTGCCTCCTCGGTTCAAGTGATCTTCCCACCTCAGCTTCTGGAGTAGCTGGATTTACAGGCGTGAGCCACCACGACCAGCTAATTTTTGCATTTTTAGTAGAGATGAGGTATCACCATGTTGGCCAGGCTCGTCACAAGCTCCTGACCTCAAGTGATCCGCTTACTTCGGCCTCCCAAAGTGCTGGGATTACAGGCATGAGCCACTGTGCCCGGCAATATGAGTCTTCTTTTATTGAGCACTGATTTGGGAGCCAGGAGGGGCCCTACCCTCTGCTGTGACCTTGGCCCCGGCATCCCTCGCTTCTTTGCTCCAGGCTGTGCAGAGCATTGGAAACCTGGGCCAGCAGCTGGGCCAAGGCAAGGAACTGTGGATGGCCCCCCTGCACCCCTTCCTGCTGCAGTGTGTCTCACGTGTGAGAGACTTCCTGGACCGGCTGGTGGATGTGGATGGGGATGAAGGTGAGTTCCTGTGGTCCGGCCACATCTGGCTTCTCAGCCCAGTTGAGACACCACTCAGGGACTTCCCCTTTCCCCCTCCAGCTCCTCAGCACTAAGAATGTGAATCTGTGGGTCAGTCAACTAACATTTCCTGATACTTACTGTGCTAGGCCCCAGAGATGAACAGAGCTCAGGTGCTGTCCTCCAGGCCCATCCCCAGCCAGTGTGGGGATATGGCTGTGGGCAGGATCGTGGCATGGTGTGCATGCCATTGACAAACATCTATTAAGCGCTTACTAAATAACAGGCACAGTTCTAGGTGCTGGGGATGCAGCAGTGAACAAGACAGAGAAAATCTGATCTCACAGAGCTTTTATTTTGTTGGGGACCACAGGCCATTAGCAAGATAAATAAGCAAGTTATGTGGTATGTTAGAGAGCTGTAAGTGCTAAGAAGGAAAAAAAAAAGGAGGAAAGAACAGAGATCTGAAAGGGAAAAGTTAGAGAGCCTTGAGGATCCTGGGGAAGAGTGTGCCAGGCAGGGCACAGCATGTGCAAGGGCCCTGAGGTAGGACACAGAGCAGCACTGAGGACACCCGTGAAGAAGAGTGAACTGGGGGCAGTGGGGAGGCAAAGAGGCAAGGCCAGAGAGGTGAGGGGGCCAGATCCTGTGGGGCCTCATAGGCCTTGGGAAGAATTTTAGCTTTGACTTGGAGTGAAACAGAATCACAGGATGATTTGTAGCAGGAAAGTTGTGGTTGAGTCCATACCATAATGTGGGGCTCAGGTCATAACCTAGTTGGATCCCAGTCCCATTGAAGCAACCTGTCAGAACGTAGAACCTGGCTGTGGCATGGTGGGGTCCCTATGGTGCTGGGGTGGGGTGGCGGGGCTGTGTCCTGGCTCCCTGAGCATGATTAAATGCTGGACATTGCCTGGATGGGACCCCATAGGGTGTGGCTGCCCCTGCTGGCTGCCTGCATACTGTCTGCAGATTTCTCTGGTTGGAGAGAGGTCTTCAAGGGCTACTCTGCCCTCCCCCTCCTCCCAGCCTCCATGATTGCATCCCCTATTGAGGGAGTGGTCTGAAGTCATCGCGCTCATCCTCCTGCCTCTAGGGGAGCAGAGAACCATGCCCGTCCACTGAGGTCCTCCCTGGGCATGCTAGTGGAGCAAGGTGAGCCTGGTTAGGGAGGGCTCACTGTCCACCGCTCTCTTCTCCCATCTCCTAGAAGCTGGTGTCCCAGCCAGGGCCCTGTTCCCGCCCTCGGCCATTGTTCGAGAAGGCTATCTGCTGAAGCGCAAGGAGGAGCCTGCCGGCCTGGCCACGCGCTTTGCCTTCAAGAAGCGCTACGTCTGGCTCAGCGGGGAGACCCTCTCCTTCTCCAAGAGTCCTGAGTGGCAGGTGGGGTTCCAGTCCACTATGGAGGGCTTTCCAGGGGTGGCCTTTTTCAGTGTGCTGCCTCTTTGTACCCAGGGGGAAACTGAGGCCCACAGTGGGGCAAGGCCCCAAGATGCCATAGCAACTTAACAACGACAAACTCTCAGGACAGGCTCTGCTCACAAGTTCAGGCCAATGTGGGCACAGGACATGGACAGGCACCATCATGCATCCTTCAGAATGTGCACATGCGGTGGCGGGGATACGCCTCCCAGATGTGGATGCACACAGGACAGGGATGATGCTGAGCCTCTCTCCAATGCTCCCACCAGGATCTAGACACATGCTAGACAGACTCATAAAATTGAATGTGTTCACTAGGAACGTGTGCAGATGTTCAGGCACATCCATCCAAGCATTCATTCACTCGTTCATTCATTCAGCAAACATTTATTGAGTGCCTATTATGTGCCAGTGTCCTAGGCACTGGAGATACAGAAGTGAACAAGACAGGTGAAAATCCTGCCCTTGTGGGGCTGGCGTTCATGACTAGAATGCCCCGAGACACGTGCTGGAATCTCCCGAATGGGGAGCTGTGTGCACACCAGTAGATGATGACGGCTAACGCTGAGAAGGGAGCCCACGCTTCCTGTTTCTATTTTATCAGAAGAATGGAGATTCTAGGGGTCAGTTCTCTGGGTTCCAATTTTGGGTCCACCCAATGAGTGACCTTGGAAGCGTCATCTATCCTCTTGCACCTCAGTTTTCTCATCTGCAGGTTGGAGAGAATAACAGAACCAACCCCAGAAGTTTGTTGTGATAATTAAATAAGTTGATCAATGTAAAGTGCTTGGAATCGCGTCCCAAGTACCATAGAAGTGGTAGTTATTATTAACAAGGAAATGGATGCCCAGAGAAGTTGTCACTTAGAGAGGTGGCTGGGCACGGTGGCTCATGCCTGTAATCCCAGCACTTTGGGAGGCCGGGGTGGGCAGATCACTTGAGGCCAGGAGTTCGAGACCAGCCTGGCCAACATAGTGAAACCCCGTCTCTACTAAAAATACAAAAATTAGCCGGGAGCGGTGGTGCACGCCTGTAATCCCAGCTACTTGGGAGGCTGAGGCAGGAGAATCGCTTGAACCTGGGAGGCGGAGGTAGCAGTGAGGCCAGCTCGTGCAACTGCACTCCAGCCTGGGCGGCAGAGCGAGACTCTGTTAAAAAAATAAATAAATAAAAATTAAAAAAATAAAAGGGGATAGGGCAGGACTCATGGAACAGCTCACATGGATGGATGGACGAGCACACAGAGCACAGACTTACAGGGTTGAATGTCCCGCCGCTGGGAACTGACTCCACCTGCTGCACACAACCAGACGGAAGGTGTCCCCACCCCGGCCCTAGCCCCCAGCCCATCCTGCAGCGACAATCCTCTTCCCCAGATGTGTCACTCCATCCCCGTGTCTCACATCCGCGCCGTGGAGCGCGTAGACGAGGGCGCCTTCCAACTGCCCCACGTGATGCAGGTGGTGACGCAGGACGGCACGGGGGCGCTGCACACCACCTACCTCCAGTGCAAGGTGAGACCCCACCGCGATGGGGAGCGGGGGGCGTCCCTCTGTTCCCACCCGCCCCCTGATCGCCTCCCACCCGCTGCAGAATGTGAATGAGCTCAACCAGTGGCTCTCGGCCTTGCGCAAGGCCAGCGCCCCCAACCCGAACAAGCTGGCCGCCTGCCACCCCGGTGCCTTCCGCAGCGCGCGCTGGACCTGCTGCCTCCAGGCTGAGCGCTCAGGTGAGGGGGCAGGGCGGACTGCAGGCTCCGCCCTCCCCACCCGTCAATCAGCGGGTGTCCCACTTCCGCCTGGGCTGGCTGTGCAACCTTGGGCAAGTTACTCAACCTCTCTATGCCTCAGTCTCCTCAACTGTGAAATGAGGTTGATAACAGTGCCTATCTCGTGGAGTTGTGATAATTAAATGACTTGATTTACACAAAGAGCATAGGACGCTGCTTGGCGTATGCGACGTGTTATTTCTAAAGTACTCACTAGGTGCCAGCATCCAGTGGTACTCAAACATCATGAGCTTGTTCTCAAGAAAGATGAGTGCATAACCCAATAATTTTTTTTTTTTTTGAGACAGAGTCTCACTCTATTGCCCAGGCTGGAGTGCAGTGGCACAACCTCGGCTCACTGCAACCTCTGCCTCCCGGGTTCAAGCGATTCTCCTGCCTCAGCCTCCTGACTAGCTGGGTTTATAGGTGCGTACCACTGCACCCAGCTAATTTTTGTATTTTTAGTAGGGACGGGGTTTCCCCATGTTGGTCAGGCTGGTCTCGAACTCCTGACCTCAGGTGATAAGCCCTCCTCGGCCTCCCAAAGTGTTGGGATTACAGGCCTGAGCCACCGTGCCCGGCCTTTTGTTAATACAATGTTATACATTGTTATTAACAATGTATATACAATGTATAACAATGTATTACAATGTATAACATTGTAAATAATAACATTGTTATTATATAAAATAATATATAATATATATAAAATATATATAAAATAATATATAAAATAATGACATTGTTATTAACAATGTATATACAATATATAATGATGTATTACAATGTATAACAATGTAATACAATGTTATAAGTGCCAAGATGAGACGTTTGAGATTCCAGTGGATGCCTCTGACCCAGCCTCAGGATGGGGACTCAAGGAGGGCTTCCTGGAGGAGGTGCTGCTTAAATGTGACCTGAGTAGAGCAGAAGTTAAGCAGCGGCATTGGAGACAGAACTGGGAGATGGGGGTAAGGAAGTGTTGCAGGTGTCATGAGCAAAGGCCTAGAGGTTGGGACAAGGTAGGCTGACGGATGGAAAAGGGTCTGTGTGACTGGAGCCTAGAATGAGGGAGGAGTACCGGGAGAGGCGAGGCTACTGCTAGAGTCTGGGGAGCAGAAGTGGGGCTGGATGAGAGTGGAGGATGTAAGATTCAACGGAAGTAGTGGGTTTTTTTATTTTTGTTTTTGAGACAGAGTCTCTGTTGCCCAGGCTGGAGTGCAGTGGTGCAATCATGGCTCCCTGCAGCCTCAAACTCCTGGGCTCAAGCAGTCCTCTCACCTCAGCCTCCCAAGTAGCTGGGACCACAGACGTGCCACCATGTGAGGCTAATATTTTTGTGTGTGTGTGAGATGGAGTCTCACCCTTTTGCCCAGGCTAGAATGCACTGGTGCAATCTTAGCTCACTGCAATCTGTGCCTCCCAGGTTCAAGAGATTCTCCTGCCTCAGCCTCCCAAGTAGCTGAGATTACAGGCATGAGCCACCACGCCTGGCTAATTTTTGTATTTTTAGTAGAGATGGGATTTCACCACATTGGCCAGGCTGGTCTGAAACTCCTGACCTCAGGTGATCCACCCACCTTGGCCTCCCAAAGTTCTGGGATTACAGGCGTGAGCCACCGCTCCAGACCCAAGGGTAATTTTTAAATTATTTGTAGAGACAAGGTCTCACTATGTTGCCCAGGCTGGTCTTGAACTCTTGGGCTCGAGTGATCCTCCCATCTCAGCCTCCAAAAGTGCTGAGATTACAGGCATGAGCCACCGTGTGTGGCCTAGAAGTAGTAGGTTTGAGGAGGGATTTTACAGGAAGAAGGAGCACGGCTTGGCGAATGCCTGGCTGTGGAGGCTTCTGGAAGGGGAGAGGGAGTTACTGATGAATGAAGCTGTGTTCCCTCAGCCGCCGGCTGCAGCCGTACACACTCAGCTGTCACCCTGGGGGACTGGAGTGACCCACTGGATCCTGATGCTGAGGCCCAGACAGTGTATCGGCAGCTGCTCCTGGGGCGGGACCAGCTCAGGTGGGTGCCCCCACCCATCCCACTTCACCTCCTATGACCAGCCAGGCCAGCCCCCCACCGTGGCCTTGCTGTGTCCATTTATTCATTCTTCCCATGTGTGTTGGTGGATATTCCCCGGGGGCCTGGCCCAGGGTGGGGACTGGGTGTCTACACAGTCAGGGCTTGGGAAGCATCCTCAGTGGGAGGGGTCCCTTATGCAGAACTGGGTCTTGGGATCTTTTAATACCTGGAGCTCCAGAGACCCTGGCACAATTCACATAAAATCCTGGCCCCCTGCGCTTGCTAAATGACCTTGGATAGATCTCTTCCCCTTCCTGGCATGAGGATCACTATCACTGTTATTTGGTGACAGAGATTTGTCCCAACTCATTATAGAGTGGGTTCTGAAGCTGACCTGTCTGGGTTCAAATCGTGACCTGGCCACTTACTAGCTGTGTGATCTCTTTTTAAAAAAATTTATTTATTTATTTACTTAGACAGAGTCTGGCTCTGTTGCCCAGGCTGGAGTGCAGTGGCATGATCTTGGCTCACTGCAACCTCTGCCTCCTGGGTTCAAGCGATTCTCTTGCTTCAGCCTCCCACATAGCCAGGATTACAGGCACTTGCCACCACGCCTGACTAGTTTTTGTATTTTTAGTAGAGACGGGGTTTCACCATGTTGGCCAGGCTAGTCTCCAGTTCCTGACTTCAAGTGATCCACCTGTCTCGCCTTGCCCTCTCAAAGTGCAGGGATTACAGGCATGAGCCACTGCACCCAACCAGTGCATCTGGAAAAGGGGGATAATAATGGTGGCGACCTCGTGGGTTGTCCTGAGGATCAAATGAGCTAATACAGGTAGAGCACTTTGTAGGTGCCTGGCCAGATAGTTAGCTTTCAATAAGTGATAATGATGCTGCTGCTGATGCTGTGTGACCTTAAGCAAGTTACCTAACCTCTCTGTGTCTCAGTGATCATCTGTATAATGGAGCTAATAGTAAATACCTACCTCATATGAGTTTGTCATGATAATTAAATGAGTTAATACATGTAAAAGGTTTAGAATAGTATCTGGCACTCTAGAAATGTTTGCTGTGTAGATGATGATGATGATGATGGTAGATGGTGATGGTGATGGTTCAGGAAAACTAATTTCTCAGAGAATTTCTGGGGTAGGAAGCAGGAATGGGAATCAGGGACCAGACTTGTCTTTCTCCCTCTTACCTTCCAGGCTGAAATTACTGGAGGATTCTAACATGGATACAACTCTGGAGGCAGACACAGGTAAGGGCTCCTGTACCTCAGAAGGTAAAGGCTGGGTGCAGTGGCTCACACCTGTAATCCCAGCACTTTGGGAGGCCGAGGTGGGTGGATCACTTGAGGTCAGGAGTTCGAGATCAGCTTGGCCAACATGGTGAAACCCTGTCTCTACTAAAAATTTAAAAATTAGCCGGGCGTGGTGGTGCACACCTGTGATCCCAGCTACTGGGGAGGCTGAGGCATGAGAATTGCTTGAGCCCAGGAGGTGGAGGTTGCAATGAGCTGAGATCATGCTACTGCACTGCACCCTGGGCAACACAGCAAGACTCTGCCTCCACCCCCAAAAAAAGAAGCTAAGGGGTTAAGGAGGTCCCTTTTTCTTCGCAGGCACTTCCCCACTGTCTCCTGTGTCCTCCTGTTTCCAGTCCATTATCAGGCCACAGGGCTGTGTGTGGGGATTCTCAAGGATTTTAGGGTTCTCAGGGCACAAGGCACATCTTCAGCATGAGAAACCATTGGGTCCGGGTTACAGCAGCCTGCCCTGGACTGGCTGAGCCCCTGTGGCCTCTTGTCTCCCTCCTAGGGGCCTGTCCTGAGGTCCTGGCCCGGCAAAGAGCAGCAACTGCCCGCCTGCTGGAGGTGCTCGCAGACCTGGATCGTGCCCACGAGGAGTTCCAGCAGCAGGAGCGAGGGAAGGCGGCCCTGGGCCCCCTTGGCCCCTAAGGAAATGCCAGAGCTAGCCCGGAAGGAGGAGCAAGAGCCAGGGGGCCCTCTTCAGCGCATCCTGCCCCGGGAGTCTCCTGTCTCCTTGGACCTCTTTGATTCTGTGGTTTGGAGGCTCCCAGAGACGTGCCTAGTCCTGTGTGCCTTGAGTCCAGAACTCAGGGCATGGAAGCCCTTTGGCAGGGGCCAGCCTTGCACTGAGTGAAACTTGCCCTCTGGCTTGATTCAGACTGGAGTGGATAGGATAAGGAACCTGACTTATTTGACTGAGACTGGGGTCTCTACTTCACCAAACTGGCCTCTATCCATACCAAGGAGGCCAGCCTGGCCCTGAGCTGCTGGATACAGCTGGACCTGAATTCCTGATGCCCATGTGATGTTGTTGCCCCAGATGGGCACTAAATGGCCTCACTCCTTCCTGTTTTCATGTCTGCTAATCCCTATAACCTCACTGATTCTTCTGTACCCTGCCCTTGGCCTAGGACTCCAACCACAAGCTTCCAGAATCAGGTGCCCTCAGGAAGAACCAAGGCTGGGTGGGGGTCCAGTGTGCCAAACTCAGACCCTTGGAGCCTGGGAGACCTTGGGCCAGGCTGTTTATCTCTCTCTGGGTCTCAGATTACCCTGTATAAAAAGAGGAGGGAAAGTCTAGATGTGTGGTTTTCAAACTGGATTCCAATGAGGTAGTTCAAGAACAAGGGAGGAGTTTCTCTGACTGTGGGCCAAAGACCACCCGCTAGAATGTCTGCTAGAAATGCAGATTTCTGAGGCCCAGCCAGCTACTGACTCAGAATCTGAGGGTATATGAAGGCAAGAATCA
Source organism: Homo sapiens (assembly GCF_000001405.40). Classification (NCBI taxonomy): domain Eukaryota; kingdom Metazoa; phylum Chordata; class Mammalia; order Primates; family Hominidae; genus Homo; species Homo sapiens. The sequence goes on along the minus strand of NC_000012.12, from coordinate 113,099,108 downwards.
GGGTTATTTAACAGATTCCGTAGGTCATTTGGATGAGTATCAGCTTTGAGGACCACAGGCCTGGGGAATGGGCAATTTTATTTTATTTTGTTTTTAGAGTTGGGGGTCTCACTCTGTTGCCCAGGCTGCAGTACAGTGGCATGATCATAGGTCAGTGCACCCTCAAACTTCTGGACTTCAGTGATCCTCCCACGTTAGCCTCCAGAGCAGCTGCGACTACAGGTGCAAGCCATCACGCCTGGCTAATTTTTAAATTTTTGTAGAGATGGGGGGTCTCACTATGTTGCCCAGGCTGGTCTCAAGCTCCTGGCGTCAAATGAGCCTCCCGCTTCGGCCTCCTTAGTTGCTGGGATTACAGGTGTGAGTCAGTGCCTGGCTTGCAATTTTATATGCCAGAGTTTGGGTTGAGGTTTTGTCTGAGAATGAACCACGGAGTACAAATGTTTGGGAACATGTGACTGGCAGAACTGGAAGGGCCTCCAAGGACTCGTTTCCGGTGTTGTGTCACTAGGGGGTGGGACAGAAACCAAAGCCTACCTGGCAGGGGATCAAGTGGACCAGGAAAGACACGGCGCTATCCCGAGGGTGGCCAGCAGGGGTTGCCCGAAGCCGCAGCATCCACCAGAACTACAGGGGCGTCCTGGCATGTTGCAGAGAGGCTGATTTAAGGCTGGGGTCCATCCCTGTTTTTCCCTAGTTAGAACCTGACCCTCCTCCCCAAGGACAGGGTCCTGACAAGCTCTGAGATCCTGATGAGCTGATCACAGTGTCTCCCAGCTCCTCCGTATTTCCCTCGAGGCTCCCAGCTCTGCACCTGAGTTCCTTGTTTCTTGTCATTGTGCCAGGGAGCAGATGTGTGCATTGCCTTGTGCTCTTGTGAAAGAGAAGGGCACTTTCACCTCTGCATTCTTGGAGACTAGGACTAGGAGGGTCTGCCACTGCTTCACCGCCCCCACCCCTTCCAGCCCGAGGCAAGGACCCTGAAGTCATTCTCTTGCAAGCCATCACTCCCCAACGGGGCTGACTGCAGCCCCCAGGAACAGAGCCACCCACCCCTCTCTTGGCAGGAAAAGACCAGGCGAGGAGGAGAAAGACCATTTATTTCTCCACCCACAGTGGGACTGGTAGGTTTTGAAAAGAGCAATCGCTGGCATCCCTTTAAATCTTGGCTGACTCCCACCGTGGCAGCCAATCAGCAGAGGCGGAGCTGGTGAGTTGCCTGGGCAACAGGCCCCTGGTTGGCCGAAGACAATTAGCCACCCCACTGCCCACTCCCAACGAAAGGGAAATTGACTCTCTGCTGTCCACTCTGCTTTAAAATACATCGGCCCAAACTAGGCCTCCTCCTTTCGCTCCTGAAGTCAGAAGCGCCAGCCTTTGGCTCTCAAAATTGGGAGCGATTTGGTGGAGAGGATGGGGTAGGGAGGATGGGAGAACAGCGCCTTTATCTGGGACAGACAGAAGGCCTGGAGATGGGAAGGGAGAAGGAGATCAGAGTCCAGAGAGATGAAGAGGCACAGACACAAAATCAGGACCCTCTAGTCCCCGCTCGTGCTGGCCATTCTTTTGTAGAACTGCTCAGTCATCTGGGGGCTTCCACCCCATGGGCCCACAATTGCCCAATCAGTGGGTGGCAGACATGGGTGATGACACGGAATGGGTGAGGCATCTGGGGTACACTGAGTTTCCCGAGTCCCTCTTTGCCCCCCGAGCCCTGGCAGGCCCCTAAGGGCTTGCCCCGCATCCTCCAGTTTGCAGACAAGGCTGTACAGATGCAACTGAGACACAGATGGGGATCCACATGGGGGGGTCATGGGGTCTTTCTGTCTCTTCTCTTCCAGCCTGGGGGCAAGTACAGGCACGTGGGTGTGCGTGCATGAGTTCAACAGGACATGTGTGTTTGTGTGTGAGGGGGCGGGTCTCTGTCTTTTTGGTAGGGAGGTTTCCAGTACTCTCTGCTTGGCCCTCTCAGGGAGCTATGATTCGGGGCCAGCCTGACATGCCATCTCTCTTCATCCCAGCTGCCACCAGGCAGGTCCCCTGAATGGCTGCGGCCCCTTCCGCAGGCTCCTCCCCAGCCCTGAACCTGGGCTACCAGGACACACCTGGCGAAGGAGGCATTTGCCGGACCAGGGGCAAAGCAGGAGGGAAGGTGGGCAGCCTTGGGCCTCAAGCCTTGGCTGCAGCCTCGGATACGCCCTGGGCTGTGAGCTCAGCCAGCACGTTGTCTAGGTAGCTAGCGTCCGGGTAGCCGTGGCCCGTGAGGTTGGATCCAAACTCGGTCTTGTGGTGGATCTCGTTCCACACCACGGTGTCCGACTCGCCCGTGGTGTTGGACGTGCCGATAGTGAAGATGAGTCTTCTCTCCCAGGCCGTGATGAGCAGCCGCAGCACCTGGGGGGACAGGGACACAGTGGGGCCGGGAGGAGGTCACAGGCAGCTTCCAGCCCACCAGCCTCAGCCTCCCTCCCTCCCCTGCCACATCATGGCTACCTTATGGCTTCGTCCATTAGCACCAACTACGTACTGCTGGCTTGGCCATTTCCTTTGCATTTGTATTTCCTGAACTTCCAGTAAAAGCTCTTTCCAAGTTACTTATGTTTGTTTTTTCTTTTCTTTTCTTTCCTTTTCTTTTTTTTCTTTTTCTTTTTTTTTTTTTTTTTTTTTTTGAGGCAGAGTCTTGCTGTGTTGCTCAGGCTGGAGTGCAGCAGTGCAACCAGAGCTCACTGCAGCCTCGAACTCCTGGGCTCCAACAATCGTCCCACATCAGCCTCTCCAAGTCTCACTATGTTGCCCAGATTGGTCTCAAACTCCTGGCCTCAAGTGATCCTCCCACCTCGGCCTCCCCAAGTGCAGGGATTACAGGTGTGCACCACTGCGCTTGGCCTGCCTGTTTTTTTTTTTGTGATGGAGTCTTGCTCTGTCACCCAGGCTGGAGTGCAGTGGGGTGATCTCGACTCAGTGCAACCTCTGCTTCCTGAGTTCAAGCAATTCTCCTGCCTCAGCCTCCCAGGTAGCTGGGACTACAGGCGCACTCCACCACTCCGGATAATTTTTGTATTTTTAGTAGAGACGGGGTTTCACCATGTTGTCCAGGCTGGTCTCAAACTCCTGATCTCGTGATCTGCCCGCCTTAGCCTCCCAAAGTGCTGGGATTAGAGGCATGAGCCACCACACCCGGCCCTGCCTGTTTTTTTCTGGGGTGAAGAAAGCATCTGGCAGCTCTCTGCTCTATTTAGTTTGGACTCCACACTATATTAAAGAGCCACTTGTAAATTAGTTACTAACATTCAAAAGCCTAGAGATTTCCCATGAAAATCTGGATTTCTTGGTGCTCTTGAAAAGCAGAAAGTCAAATCAGACAACCTGTAGGGTGGTGGTGACAGCTTGGACTGCCTGGGCTCAAATCCCAGCTCCGCCACTTAGTTTCTCTGTGACCACAGTCAAGTGACTTGCCCTTTCTGAAGCCTTGTGTCTTTGTCTATAAAATGGGGTCAGGATCTTGACCTCAGTGGCTCAGGAAACGAGATAAGATGTGTGAAGGAGGTGGCTGTGGTCGTTACTGTTCGGGTGCTGCTTTTGGGAGGAATGTGAGAGCAGGGATTGGGAATGATGGGGACCACAGGCCCAGGCCAGTGGTTGCTGGAGCCCCTGCCTGTGCCTATCTCCCATGCCCTCACGGCTGGGCACCCACCTTCCGGCCTTTCTCGTTGTTGGGTAGATAGCAGTGGCGAGGGAATCCTCTTGCGGTGAACTTCTTCCCGGGGTTGGGGTGCTCAGGGCCCTGCAGAGAGGGACAGTACAGGGATTTAGACCATGAACAGGTGGTGGCAGGGTGGAGAAGCATCTGGAGGAGTTGGAGGGGTGTGGGGGCTGGGGGCCAGAGAGGCGGAAGGGGAGCCCACCTGGATGCCTGTGGGGATGTCATAGACGATGCGGATGGTCTGGGTATCAGGGAAGCCGGGCAGCGAGTGGGGGATGAGGTGGAACTCCATCTTCCCAGGCGGCTGCGTACCCGTCTTCTCCCCGTAGATGGCCTTGCAGGTGGGGCACTGCAGGCTGCCATCCTGGGCAGGGGAGGCTGGCAGTGAGTTCCCAGCACCCCCCCAAACCCCACTCCGTTCCCTGCCCACTCCTCAGCCATTGTCCCGCCCAACCCACCTTGTTGCCATTGGAGTACATGGCCACGAGGCACAGCAGGTGGTACATGTGGCCACAGCGGCCCAGGCGGCCCACGAGCTCAGGCCGCACGCCCTTGTGCCGAAGCACGCCCTCGTAGCCTGATGCTGTGACCAGTCGCTCCATGCAGATGGTGCAGTCCTGCAGGTGGCAGCAGGGGAGACTGAGGACTGGGGAGGGCAGGGCACCTACTGGGTCAGCACTGCCCCTTGGTGGGTCACCATAGGCAGCAGACCACACTCTCTCTGGTACCCATTTGGCAAAGGGAGACAGGACACACCCTCTGCCCCATACATTGTTTTATTTTCTTTTCTTCTTCTTCGTTATTTTATTTATTTTATTTATTTATTTTTATTAAGAGACAGGCTCTGTTGCCCAGGCTGAAGTGCAGCAGTGCAATCATAGCTCACTGCAGAGTCAAACTCCTGGGCTCAAGAGATCCTCCTGCCTCAGCCTCCTACGTAGCTGGAACTACAGGGATGAGCCACTGCACCCAGCCCCTTCCCATATATTGAATTCTGATATATCACAGAGGAAGATGGCTCCCCTCACCACCCCCCAGGTGAATTAAGGGCTTAACTATCAAAAGCAAAACTTAAAAACATTTAGTGGAAAATATGGGTGAAAATGACACAAAAACTCAATCATCAAAAGATGGATAAATGTGAGTCTATTAAACGTAAGTATTTCTATTCATCAAAAAACCTCATAAAGTGAAGAAAGGAACAAACTAGAAGAGCTCTGTATCACCCAGAACCCAGGAGGAGGGGTGAGGGTTCCTGCCCCCTCCATGCCAGGGCCCTCCCCCAGCCCCCCCATCCCCTCCTCACCTCATCAGGTGGGTTTTTCACCTTCTGCATGTATCTTCGAACCACATCCTCGGGATTCTTACCTGCAGGGACACAGCGGGGTGGGTTTGAGGGTACCCAGAGTCTGTCCCCGAAGGCTTGGCTCAGAACTGGGTCAGGGGTCAGAGGGCAGGGGTCAGGCTGGCAAGGGTTGGCCGGGGTCAGGCTGGCAAGGGTTGGCCAGGGTCAGAGGTCAGGGGTTGCTGGAGGTTAGCTGTAACAGGAGCTGGTGAAAGATGGGGCCAGGGCAAGGGGAGCTGAGATCAGGCAATGGAGGTGAGGTAGTAAATGCTAAGAATAAGTTGGAGACCAGGGGTCACAGAGTTGTGGTCAAGGCTTAGTGGGGTTCATCTCGTGTGAGGCAGGGCGTGGAGGGCGTACTCTTTTTAAGGTGCTTCTTCTTGGTCTTGCGGCACACCCCGGGCACGCCAGGCACGGGCTTCACGTCGCTCTTGCTCACGGGCGGCGGGTGCAGGATGGGCTTGGGGGCCCGCGTCAGGCACACGGGCAGCCCGGCCGCGCACAGCAGTATCCCGGTCATCCCTGGGGGTTAGGGGGCGCAGTCACAGGGCGGGGCGCCATCCCCGCCCAAACCCCCGACCACTGGCCCTGGGAATCCCGGGGCCCTCGGGTGGGTGGGAGGGTTGCGCTCTTGGGCCCCACCCACTCAGCCCCTTGAAGGCCCCTGAAGGGCCTTTCTGCGGGCCACGCCCGCCCTGTGTCCTGGGCCCAGTGGAAGGGGGCGTTTCCTCCGGGCCACGCTCACCAGCCCATCTCGGGGGCGGGGTCACCGGGTGACAGGCGGAGCTGCCTCCTAGTGGGCCCCGCCCTTCTTTCCCGCCCTGGGCCAGACCTCACCTGCCAGGGCCGGATGGACCGGCCCAGTACCATTCAAGTTCTTCACCGGGAGTGCGGGGACCCTGCGGGGAGAAGAGAAGAGGCCGCAGCTGGACTCCAGCCCCCGAAGCGACGTCAGGGGACCTGGCTTGCCTTCTGTCTCTGGCTCCTGGGCCACACACCCTGGCCTCTTTGTACCTCTCTGCCAACTGCAGTTACCTCCAGGAAACTCTCTTTCTACTCTGACATCCTATTATGGGGCGGGGGTGGCCAGGACCTCCGCCCAGGTTCCAATGGGATGCACCCTTAGACTTTAGTGCAGACACCTCCTTACCCTACAGCCGGCTCCTCCCTCGAGAGGGCGCTTTGGCTCTGAGGGCTCCTTTCGTTGGCCGCTGTGCCTGAAACCCAACTACTAGTGGTGTAGCTATTTTAACATCTCTCAAAGCTTGTTAGATGTAGCATTATTAATTTCCATAAAACGTTCCAGGAAAGAAGGATTCAGGAATCAAGTAAGTTAGGAACACGTCACTGTCTCCCTCTCTGAAATTCACAACATATCTGAGCATATTAAAGGCTCTGACAAGCCCTGCGTAAGAACATATCATTAACAATGATAAGTCCAGGTTTTCAAAAGCATTTGGTGATGAATTTTTTTTCTCTTCTGGAATATTTACTGATGTCAGTTTCTGTGACAAGGTACTATCCTCTCTTCAAATGAAGAGCCCCTAGGAAAAGGTATCCTGACTCTCCTCTTCCTCTGGCCCTCAAAAGAGCTTTGGCTTTTGGAGTCAGCCAGAGCTGCTTTCATATCTCAGTTCAACCACTAATGAGCTGGGCGACACACAGCACATCATCTCATCTCTTGTAAGGGGTGGTCTGTAAAATGGGGACAATATGGTACCTTTTTTTTTTTTTAATCTGCTGTGAGGATTCCGTGAAATTATATGTGTCAAGGGCCAAGCACAGTTCCTGGTACCTAACAGCTACTAAAAGCACAGCCATCGGTATCATCACTGTCAGCTGTGCAATCCTGGCCGAGTAATTTCACCTCTTTGCTTCCCAGGCACTAAGTCCTGGTGTAACTTCTCTCCATCTTAGAGAGGAAACCACAAAACTGCTGCAGTGACAACCTTGAACAAGTCACTTAACTTCTTGATCCTCAGTTACCTTATCTGTAAAACAGGCATATTAACACCTCACTTATAGTCGTTGGGAGGACTGAAGGAGAGCTTGCGGTGATGTGTACAGTGTGTCTGCCTGAGTCCTCCTGACTTCAGCACCTGTTTATGCAGGGGAACTGGTGTCTTGCTGTTGATGGGCATGGAACCCAGGCTGGATACGTTCTGATGAAGAGGGGTGTTCTGAAATCCAGGGGTCAGCCTGAAGGCCTTGGGGGATGTGCCAGGAGAGGGGGCAGGAAGGGCTGGGAGCAGTGACAGCTGGAGAAGGAGCTGCAGCAGCCCCCTTGGCTCTGGCCGTGCCTGTTCAGGTCACAGCCTGTCTAATGCTGTCTGGTCACCTGTCCTTGGCAGGCACAGTTGGCACCAGAAAGCATCTTCAAGCAAATGGTGCCCTTGGCAGGCTTGGGTACTGCTGCAGTGGGTGCAGACACACAGACATACACACCCAGGGCACACACCATCCACACAGATCCACAGATCCAAATATACACACATGCATGGAGAAGACCACACAGACTTATCATACTCCCCGGGACACATTACACACACATGTTTAAGTACACAGACACACAAACACACACAACCCAGGGAGTACATCACAGATACATGCACACACAGACACACAGATACCAGGGAGCCTCCCTCCCCATCCGTCTACTTGGGGAACATACCGCACACACTAGGGAATGCACACCATGAACATATACATGGATACACACAGGCACACTTCAGGGCACGCCCCCCACAAACATACATGGATTAAGATACACACACACTCACATATTCCAGGGAATGCCTCCCCACACCTACATACAGAGACTTGTGCACACACGGGGACACACACATACACACAGAAGCACACACAGCTCTCCCCTGGGAGGATACTCCATTGGACAAGAGTCGGTGGCTCATGTAGACCAGTACCGCACCTGCTACTGCCGCCCCTCTCCCCAGCTGCACAGAGCTGGGTAAGGTGGGCAGCAAACCCAGAGGAGCATGCGCTCAGCCCTACAAGCCCCCGGCGCGCTGCAGCCTGCAGAACGGCCTGCCGTCCACACGCGGACACACGATTCCGCACCGCCTGTGGGGAAGTACTCGTGCGTACTGATTCACATCATGCATGGGGGCGCAGGAGGACACGCTGACTCACTGCACACGAGGACACATGCGCACATGCTCTGACCCACACCTCCTGACACTGACACACAGACACTCAGCCTGGGAGGCCCACACCTGCACACATGCAGAGGCACAATCACACATGCACACAGGTGCAGCGCACACACACCCACTTGGTGGCTGCTCGGCTATACAGGATAGTATCACGTGGCCAGGACTCCCATCCCAGACCCCTCTGAGGGCTGTGGAGAGGTCTGGAGCAGACATCTGGATTGAGCCCCTTGAGGAGGCGCCGGTGTGATGGAAGTCAATGAACACAGCTCCCGAGGGAGGCAGGATGGGATGGCGGGTACCCTGGGTCCCCCAGGACCTGGTCAGTGGAGGTGGGAAGAAAGCACTGTGCCTCAGTTTCCCCACCTGTAATGGGGATAGAGTCCTGTGAAAGTTAAATGTGCTAAAACATGTAAAGCTCATCATTTGGCGCAGGGATGAGAGTGGAGGTGTCTTGATTTTCTTGTCGGGCACCCTGCGGGGGGGCCCCAGGAAGAGGGGCACTGAGTATTCATTTGACCCTTCTCAGGGTCTGTCATAATCCTCCAGGGCCTTCCTCAGGGGGGCAGCTGTCACCACTCTAACTTCCTCCCTCTCTATACTTTTATAGGAATGCATAGAGGCATTTCCCTCAAGCTTTTCCTCTTTCCTGCCCATTCTTCAAGCACCTCTAGTGCAGACAACCTGGTTAAGTCTAGGTCTGCCTCACCCCTCTTTCTTCCTTTCTGCCTCACAAGAAGAAAGTATCTCTTTTTTTCTCCAGGACTACCTATAAATTGGGTGGAAAGAAAAATATTGAGCATGCATACCACCACTGGTTGGTCTCCTGCCTGTGGCAGACATCACTAATCCATCACAGCACTCTCTCAAGCTTAGCAGAGTCCTCAGTACAGCTCTCCAAGCAGCCTCTATCAATCAGTATAGCCAGTTTGCTACCCCAGGTCTATATAATGCCCAGTCTGGCCCAGTGGGTAACCCTGCTCTTGCTGAGTGTTTGGTCTAGGAGTTAGACAGAGGGTACTCCAGGAAGGGAAGGATTTAGATCTCAGCTGCCCTAAAATTTCTGGAGCCCCTTAAATACCACATAGCCCTAGATTACAAAAGTCAGTCTTGCTCCTGGGAAGAGCACTGTGAGTGGGGTGTCACTGTGGGACTGTTATTTATTTACCCATCAGTGAGCCTGGGGGACAGTCCCGAGGTAGTCTCCAGCTTCTCTCTAACTGCAGGCCTCCTGCGAGAACCCAGGGTAGCAGAGTTCCCACGAACCCTGAGCGTGGGAGCCACCCGGCCCCCTTTTGATGTGGGACACGCTGTTTCCTCCGAGTCAGTGAGAACATCCTCCTGCCTGGACAAGCGACCGCTGCCTGCGGGCCTCCCGGAAGGGGAGCCAGCCTTCACCCCTAGCTCTGCCTTCTTGGGGGCCCAGGCTGGCACAGGACCTGAGGAGTCCCTCAGGCCCTCCCCGAAATCTACTCTGACCAGAAGGCAGGCATGGGCCCCACTGCCATGCAAGCCTCTCTGCCTTTCCCAGTCCCAAATCAGATCCCATCTGTCCTCTGCTCTCACTCCTCCTGCAGCTCCCACTTTGCTCACAGTTAACACCTGGCCTCCTGATCTGGCCCCCATCTACCCTCTGAACCTCATTTCCTATGTGTTCACCCCTCTCCCACTCCACTCCAGCCACCCTGGTCTCTCTGCTCTTTCTCAAGCATGCCAGGCACACTCCCACCCCAGGGCCTTTGCACTTGCTGACCCTTTCCCAAGGTGCTCTTCCCAGATATCCTCATGGCACACTCCCTCACTTAGCACAGGTCTCTGCTCAAATGTCAGCTTATCTGAGACACCTTCCCGACCACTTTATTTAGTTATTTATTTATAGACAAGATCTTGCTCTGTTGTCCTGGCTAGAGTGCAGTGGCTTAACCATTGCTTACTGCAGTCTTGAACTCCTGGGCTCAAGCGATCTTCCCACCTCAGCCTCTTGAGTAGCTGGGACTACTGGCACACACCACCACACCCAGCTTAAACAACAACAACAACAACAACAACAAAACTTTTGAGGAGACAGGGCCTCGCTGTGTTGCCCAGGCTGGTCTGGACCTGACCTCCTGGGCTCAAGTAGTCCTCCCTCCTCGACCTCCCAAAGTGCTGGGTTTACAGGCATAAGCCACTGTGCCTGGCCGCAACCACTTTATTTTTAAAAAGCCCATCTTTGTCCTTACCTTACTGAATTCTTTTTTCATAGCACTAATCACGACCTGACATTATAGTCTTTTTTTAAAATTATACTTTAAGTTCTAGGGTACATGTGCACAACGTGCAGGTTTGTTAAATATGTATACATGTGCCATGCTGGTGTGCTGCGCCCATTAACTCATCATTTACATTAGATATATCTCCTAATGTTATCCCTCTTTAAGCATGACCAGGCCCTGTATGATCTGGTCCACGCCGCCTCTTCTGCCAGACAAAGTTAGAGCAGGAATGTCAAATATATGAGTGCATACCACTACTGTCCTCCTAGCACCCACAGCAGGCATTACTAATCAATTTCGGCATGCCTTACCGCTAAGCCAAGATGCAACTTCAGAATCCTCCTCAACACAGTGCTCCAGGAAGTCACTGCCCTGGAGCAGAGATGGCACATGAGATGAACTCTATTTGTCATTTATTTTGCAGATGATGGGACTGAAGCCCAGAGAAGGGAAATGACTTCACTAAGGTCACCCAGCTGGTTGGTGGTGCAGCTGGCACTGGGTCCTGGAGTTTCCGAGTCAGGGGCCAGGGCTGACCCTGCCAGGTTGGTCTGTGGAGCCATCTGGAGTTGAGCCAGCCTAGAGAGCCCTCTGTGCTCTACAGGTGGGCTGAAGTCTTTGACCTGGATCCTGGAGCTGGCTCAGGCCTGGGCAGGGTAGATCAGGGCTGTCTAACTGGATCCATTGGCCTGCTTTGGCCACCTCTCTCTGTCCCCTAGAGGGGTCCAGGATCCCGAAACACTGACAACTGACCCTCCCTTTAGGGCAGCCAAGTCCCCTCCCTCCTCCAAAGTCTGGTCTCCTTATCTCTCCCCTCCCACCCCCAGCAGGCCTAGACTTGTTACTTTCTCTGATGCTAGTTTCCAGGTCCCCCATTGGCCTTGGCCCCCTTCAGGATACCTCACACTTACCCAGCAGACCCCAAAGAGCCCCAGGAGCCTCAGGACTCAGTCATTTGGGGCCAAGTGGGTGAGGAGGGGGCAGAAGTGAGGATGTCACTTTATGGGGAGAAGGAAGTTGAACAGTGCTTTAGGGACCCCCCACCCTCTCCCTTTCTCCTTTCTAGGGGTGTGAGCCTGTCACCTTTCCCCACTTTCAGGGCTGTCTCTGCCTCATAGCTGCCTTCTCCCCCTCCTCCCCCCACAGTCCTGGGGAACACAGCCTGGGGCCAAGTCCCTGCCGCCACCCCCACTGCAGAGACTTGAAGGACATCGCTGCAAGCCCGGGGGACCAGGTGCCCATGGACTCCTCCTCAGCTGCTGTCTGGGGTCCTCACTTCCCCTTTCCTTACCCCAGCACCTCCGTCTGCCTAGACAAACCTCTGAGCTTCTCTGGGCTTCAGTGTCCCCTCTGTGAAATGGGACCCCTTACTTCTGTCTTCTAGACCCCTTACTTCCATGTTCTAGAGATTAAAGGATGTAAAAGTCCCCTCGGGAGACATTTTGAGGTGTGAGTGGTATTGGAGGCTCAGATTTATCTAGAGGTATGGGGGCTGCGGGGGTCACTCTTCAACCCTCCCGGTCCTCCAGCCTGCCCAGCTCTCTGCGGGGGAAGGAACGGGAGGAGATGGTTGGGGGCAGGGAGGACCGGTCAGGTAGGGGAGGGGAGGGCAGGACCGGCTGTTCCCACGGCCCGGGGCAGCCACGTGCAGACAGGAGTGTGTGTGGTTTGGTCTCCCAGGGAGCAGGGCAGGAAGTGCTTCAGGTGGGGGGCAGGGTGGGGGGAGTGTTTGGTTTGACCTTGCAGCAGCGGTGAGGCGGGGTGACAGTCACTGCACACCAGTGGCTAGCGGGGCAGAAAAGTGGGGGAGGGTGGGCAGCCAGGGGCCTGGTGGGGTCCTTGACTTCACAGTGTACCTGTCAGTACTTTAACATTTTCAAACCCCTGAAATGTAATACTTATGGAAGATCTGGAGAAAGAAAATGTGGATTTTTTAAAAATAAAAGCATAAAATCACTGCAAGAAATTTAAAGAAAAAAGGAAAAAAAAGGAAGGAAAACCCTAAAACACACCCACCACAACAAAGTCCCTTTGCCCTTGGCCTCCTGCTTCAGCCCCACTGCGGTCTATGCTCAGCATTCAGAGTGAACCTGTTAAAACAGTCCCACCCGTCTCTCCCAACACACAGCCCTGCTGGTTCCCTTCTCATGCAGAGCAAAAGCCAAAGTCCTAACCGCAACCTTCCAGACCCTGTGTGACCTGGCGCCTTTTCCTCTCTTACTTCTTTCCCACCGATTGCCCTGAGCCTCTCCAACCACACTGGCCTTCTCAGGCACCCCAGACCCACTCTGCCTCAGGGCCTTTGCACATGCTGTTCTGCTGTCTGGCATGTTGGAATGCTCTTCCCCCAGTTCTTTTGCTTTTTTTTTTTTTTCTTGATACAGGGTTTTGCTCTGCCACCCAGGCTGGAGTGCAGTGGCTCGATCTTGGCTCACTGCAACCTGGGCTCAAGGGATCCTCCCACCTCAGCCTCCTGTGTAGCTGGGACTACAGGCACGCACCACCGCACCCAGCTAATTTAAAAAAATTTTGTAAAGGTGGAGTCTCACTATGTTGTCCAGGCTGGTCTCAAATTCCTGGGCTCAAGTGATCCTCCCACCTTAGCCTCCCAAAGTGCTGGGATTACAGGTGTGAGCCACAGTGCCTGGACCATACCTTGCTTTTTAACCTCCTTCCACCTTTGCTCAAGAAGGTATTACCTTCTCCATGAGGCCTTTTCTTCTCATCACTCCCTACATCCTTTCTCTCCTATATTTTTCCTCTGTAGCAGTTACTACTTTCTACCATATTCTACAATTAATTTATTCTGTTTCGTGTTTGTCTCCCACTAGAATGTGAGCTCCAAGAGAGCAAGGACTGTCTGTTTAGTTCACTGCTGTGTCCCCAGGGCCCCAAACAGTGCCTGCCACACAGAAGTTATTCAATAAATATGAATGAATTAATTAAAAAACAGATGAACATATGCTATAAAGGAAAAAGAAACAGCAAACTACAGAAAAGATGGGAGACAAAGGGTTAATGCCCTTAATGCAGGAAGAACACTTGCAAATTAATAAGGAAGCAATAAACAGCTCCAGGGAAGGATAAGCCAAAGAAATACACAAGTAATTGGCAAAAGAAGGAACCACTCATGGCCAGTAAACAGGAAAAAGTTCTCAGGTTCAACTAAGAACCAAGGGTACGGAAACTTAAATGACGTCTCTTTAGGAATTATCAGCTTGGCAATGTTGTACAAATCTGATAGAGATGGGAGGGACAAGGGTGGATTTAAAATGGGAGCAGGCCTGGCTGGGCACTGTGGCTCACGCCTGTAATCCCAGCACTTTGGGAGGCTAAGGTGGGTGGATTGCTTGAGGTCAGGAGTTGGAGACCAACCTGGCAAACATGGTGAAACCCCACCTCTACAAAAAATATAAAAAATTAGCCGGGTTGGTGGCGTGCGCCTGTAGTCCCAGATACTCAGGAGGCTGAGGTACAAGTATTGCTTGAGCCTGGGAGGCGGAGGTTGCAGTGAGTGGAGATCTCGCCACTGCACTCCAGCCTGGACAACAAAGTGAGACTCCATCTAAAAAAAAAAAAAAAGGGTACGGGCCTGAGAAATCCAAGTGCTTTGACATCTGGCTTCATGATGGACTATGTGGGCCTGTGTTGCCAGTCCCATTTCACAGATGCAAAAACTGAAGACCAGAGAGGAAGATGAGCTCAGGCAGGGTCACACAGGAATCAGGGTGGGGCTTCTGGGACCATGATCCAAAACAGTACAGGCTGGCTGGAGATGGGGCATCCCCAATATGCTGGTCAACTTGGGTTTTTGAATCTGAGTCCTAATTGTGTTACCTTGTGCAAATGTCTTAGTCTTCTGGAGCCTCAGTTTCCTCATTTGAAAAATGGGGATTATAGAACCTGCCACATTGAGTATCTGTGAGAATTAAGAGAGACATGCCTGTAAATGGCCAGACACAGTGGTTCATGCCAGTAATCCCAGTGCTTTGGGAGGCCAAGGCGAGAGGATCACTTGAGCCCAGGAATTTGAGACTAGCCTGGGCAACATAGTGAGACGCCCATCTCTACAAAAATAAAAAATTGGCCGGGCATGGTGGTGCATACCTTTAGTCTCAGCTACTTAGGAGGCTGAGGCAGGAGGATTGCTTGAGCCCAGGAGGTCGAGGTTGCAGTGAGCTATAATTGTGCCACTGCACTCCAGCCTGGGTGACGGAGTGAGACCCTGTCTCACACACACAAAAAAGCCATGAAATTGAGAGCCTGGGACATAGGGAGCGCTCGATAAATGGAAATAGGCCCGCAGCTATCACTGTCCTCCCACCCACCACGTGGGGTGGAAACTCTGAGTGTGGTTCCTCTGCTCCACAGCTGTGTTCCAACGCACTGGACACTGACCCCTCAGGGGACAGGGCGGATCTTCCCCACCCCCGCAGGTCCCCCAGGCCCAGGCTGCCAGCTGGCTCCCCGCCCTGTCTGTTACAGGGGCAAGTGGAAAAAACCCTGGCCAGGTGGATACTCTGCCCCCACTGGCTGGGTGACCCTAGATGAGCCAATCCCCCTCTCTGGGCCTCCTTCGCTGTTACCCGTCCAGGGCTGAGATGAGGTTGGAGGTGAGAATGACATTGAAGATCTCTGCAGAGTTCACACCTCCCTTGCAAGCTGATCCTTGCTGAGTCTGCCCATGTGAGAGGTGGTGGTTTTAGCTCTGTCTGACAGATGGGGAGACTGAGGCTAGAGAGGCCAAGCCTCAAGTGGGTCCAAGGTCACCCAACCTGTAAAGGGCTCTGGATCTGTTTGGGTCCAGGAGGGGAGAGAAGGAGGGTGGACAGAAGGAAGCCAGGGAAGGAAAGAGAGTGACTAAGAGGAAAAGGCAGAAGACAGAGAAAGAGAGAGAGAGACACAGAGCTACAAAGAGATATGGAAAGACTGAAAAAGACCAAGACACACAGAGATATTGTTTGGTGCAAAAGAAATGGTGGTTTTTGCCATTAAAATTATTGGCAAATTGGCCGGGCGCAGTGGCTCATGCCTGTAATCCCAGAATTTCGGGAGGCCGAGGTGGGTGGATCACTTGAGGTCAGGAGTTCGAGACCAGCCTGACCAACATGCCAAAACTCCGTCTCTACTAAAAATACAAAAAATAGCCGGTCATGGTGGCAGGTGTCTGTAATCTCCACTACTTGGGAGGCTGAGGCAGGAGAATCACTTGAACCTGGGAGGTGGAGGTTGCAGTGAGCCAAGATTGCACCACTGCACTCCAGCCTGGGTAACAGAGCAAGACGGTCTCAAAAAAAAAAGTATTGGTAAATTATAAAAGGAGAGACACACAGACACATTGTTATGGGCTGAACTGTGCCCCAAAGAAGTCATGTGTTGAAACCTTAAGCCTCAGGACCTCAGAATGTGACTGTATTTAGAGACGGGGTCTTTAAAGAGGTAATTAAGATAAAATGAGGTCACTAGGATGGGCCCTAATCCAATAGGACTGATGTCCTTCTAAGAAGAGAAGATTAAGACACAGACAGGTACAGAGGGAAGACCATATGAGGACACAGGTAAAAGATGCAATCTACAAGCCCAGGAGAGAGGCCTCAGAAGGAAACTACCCTGTGACACCGTGATCTCGGACTTCTAGTCTCAAGAATGTGAAAGAGAGAATACATTTCTGTGGTTTAAGCTGTTACTTTGTTACCACTGCCCCAGCAAACTAATACAGACTTAAAGTCATAGAGACAGGCCAGTCGCTGTGGCTCACGCCTATAATTCCCAGCACTTTTGGAGGCTGAGGCAGGCGGATGCTTGAGGCCAGGAGTTTGAGACCAGCCTGGGCAACATAGTGAGATCCTGTCCCTACAAAAAATTTTAAAAAATTAGCTGGGTGTGGTGGTGCGTGCCTGTAGTCCCACCTACTTGGGAGGCTGAATCAGGAGGATTTCTTGAGCCCAGAAGTTTCAGGCTGCCAGGAGCTGTGATTGCGCCACTGTACTCCAGCCTGGGCAATAAGAGCGAGGCTCTGTCTCTAAAAACAAAAAACAAAGACACAGAAACAAAGAGACCAGGGTTGGGAGGGCTGGGAGGTGGTTTGGGGACGAGAGTGACAGTGGGTAGACCTGTCTGCCTGGCTCCTCAAAGACCCCCCACCTCCATCCCTTTCCCCTCATAGGCTGCACTTGGGCCTCAGCTGTCTCAGCAATGGAAAGCTTTAGGCGGAAGAAGCCAGGGTCTGCCACCCCTATCTTCCTTCCTCCTACTCCCCTTCCCCAGCAACAGGCTCCACGGGTCTTGAGAGCCAGAGGGATTTTCCCCGGGGGGTTTCTTGGAGATGGAGCGTTGGGGACTTTGAGCCGGGCTTGTCTGGCTGGGGAGGATCAGTTAGAGGGGCTGGAGTGAGGCTGGGCAGCATCTGCGTGGGTGGGGAGGGATGAGGGAGTTCTTGAGAAGTTTCCCCCACCCCACATCTTCTGTTTTCCAGGCCAATGTCTGGGCTCAGGGAGGGTCAGAAACAGTCCCCAAGGGGAGGGGCAGGAGAAATGATGTCGGCTGTGGGGGAGCGGCATGTGGCTGGAGACAACAGAGCTCTGGCAGGTCAGAGGAGGACATGTTTAATGATCCGCACCCCCAAAGAGAAAACTTCCTTTTCACTACAGCCCTCTAGAGCTCAAGCACACTCTATAGCTCCCCACTGATGGCAGCACCAAGCCCAGGCTTCCCTGAGGCCACCCAACCTGGCCTTGTACCCCCATTTGGGGTAAAAAATCTCAGCCCCCACTGTTCCAGAAGGGAGCCTCTATCCCCCGGTGGTCTCCAGAACCTTCTGGATTCATTCCTACCTCTGCCCCTTTGCACCTGCAATGCCCTGCCTGGGGTGCCCTTCTCCTTCTTGCTGGCGCCTCACTCCAGCCCTCCCCACACCTCTAGCCCTTCCCTGAACACACCACGCCCTTCGAGCCCCCTTGAAGTTGTTCATGCTGTTCCCTCTGCATGGATCAGCTGTTCTCCACATCTGGCCACCTCCTCAGAGGGATTTTCCCTGAATTCCCACATCACCCTGTCCCACTACCTCCCCAGCACTTCTGTCTCACTCCAGAGATCGTCTTCATTTACTCTTTGCTTGCTGTAGGTCTGTCTCCCCATCTGTCTGTGTGCCCCGGGAGGACACAGGCCTTGTTTGTCTTGTTCAGCTCTGTGAATACACACCCACAGCACATATTTGGAGAATTAACACTAGGCCATGAAAGCTGAGTAATTTTCAGCCTCCTCTAGAACAGTAGCTTTCAAATCTCTCTCTTTTTTTAATTTTTTTGGAGACGGAGTCTCACTCTGTTACCCAGGCTGGAGTGCAGTGGCGTGATCTCGGCTCACTGCAACCTCCACCTCCCGGGTTCACGCAATCCTCCCAGTAGCTGGGATTACAGGTGTGTACCACCATGCTCAGCTAATTTTTGTATTTTTAGTAGAGATGGGGTTTCACCATGTTGGCCATGCTGGTCTCGAACTCCTGGCCTCAAGTGATCCACCTACTTTGGCCTCCCAAAGTGAGCCACTACGCCCGCCTCAAATATTTCATCAGTGACTAAGAAATTCATTTCACCTCGCAACCTATTAAACATATGCAGAAATGATGCAAAACATTCATGGAGCAATTTTTTTTTTTTTTTGAGACAGTGTCTTGCTCTGTCTCTCAGGCTGCAGTGCAGTGGTGTGATCACAGGTCACTGCAGCCTTGACCTACTGGGCTCAAGTGATCCTCTTGCCTCAGCCTTCCGAGTAACTGGGACTACAAGCACACCACCCTGCCTGGCTAATTTTTTGTTATTGTTGTAGAGATGGTGTCTTGCTATGTTTCCCAGGCTAGTCTTGAACTCCTGGACTCAAGTGATCTACCCACCTTGGTCTCCCAAAGTGCTGGGATTACAGGCATGAGGCACTGTTCCCAGGCTACATGTAACAATTCTTATTTTTACTATGTATTACACATGCCAATCTATTCTAGTTCTATTCTGTTTTCCATTCCGTTCCATTCCATTCCATTCCATTCCATTCTGTTCCAAGAAAATTCTGGCTACAACCTTCTGATTTCTTTTTTTTCTTTTAACCTTCTGATTTCCAGTCTTCTTGTGGGTTACAATAAATTTACCCAGAGAGAAGGTTCTCAAATTCTTACTGCAGAGGTCCCTGGAATTTTTCTGGTTCTGTCCCCTCCCACACTCCCCCTAGCCTGTCATTCTAGGACCCACTCTTCTTGTCATTCTGGGACCTCCAGCCCCTCTTTTTGTAAGGCAGCCAGAGCCCAGCTGCTGTCTATAAGGGGCCATAACTGATACTTCAGCCCCCTGAGATCTCCCTGAGATCTCAGTGACTCTATCCTGCAGCTTTGGACAAGGCTTCCCCAAGGGGTCTTCTTTGACCCCCTCAAGTCTGCTCTCTGTTGGCACTGGGCCTGCCCTAGGCTGAGGTCACATGGGACACACCTCTGTTTGTCCCCATGACCCTCTCCTCCGAGAGGAATGACCAGGCAGGCAGGTGGTAGTGGCTGTGATGCATCCCTGGAAAATTACAGCTTCCCCGCCCTCCATGCCAACCCTCCTCCTGGAGAGCAAAAGTAGTCCTAACGGCCATGGCTGAACTACTGCCAGTGTAGATGCTGTGTTCAGGTACACAGCGTTTTCACATGGTGGGAAGATCTGCTCCCATTTGACAGATGACAAAACTGAGGCTCAAGGAAGGAGAGGGACTCGTCCCAGGTCTCCCAGCTCAGAAGTGGTCAAGAAGGGGGCCGGGCATGGTGGCTCATGCCTGTAATCCCAGCACTTTGGGAGGCCAAGGCTGGCAGATCACAAGAGGTCAGGAGTTCAAGACAAGCCTGGGAAACATGGTGAAATCCCATCTCCACTAACACACACACACACACACACACACACACACACACACACACACAGTAGCCGGGAATGGTGGCATGCACCTGTAGTCCCAGCTACTCAGAAGACTGAGGCAGAAGAATCACTTGAACCCTGGAGGCAGAAGTTGCAGTCAGTGGAGATTGTGCCACTGCACTCCAGCCTGGGCAACAGAGTGAAACTGTATCTCAAAAAAAAAAAAAAAAAAAAAAAAAAAAAAGAGAAGTGGCCAAGAGGGGATTCGAACCCAGGAAGTCAGACTCCCAAAGGGACAAAAGGTGAATAGGGCCACCTAGTTCAGGGTCCTGGCCTTTCCTTTTCCCAGGCCTTGTTTGCCCATAATAAAAGGGGTGAGCTGGATGCAGTGACCCCAAAGGTCGCATCCAGATCTGAGCTTTGGTGATCTCGGACCATCATTATCAATTCCCCCGGCCATGCCATAGTGATTGAAGCACAGTTGGTTTTGGGTGCCCTCTCTTCCTCTTGGGGACCACAGTCCAAACCCCCCTGGTCTTTTCTCTTCTGGTCTGTCCCAAGTTCAAGGTCTTTGATCTTTCCTCTCATTGCCACCCCTCAGGGCTTGGTTCTTTGCTCAGATGACTGAATCTGGAGTCCAGGGTAGGCACCCAACAGCAGCTCACTGGGTCCCTATCCTGGGGCCTGGGACACCTTAACCCAAGAATTTGCAAACTTGATACAAGCTGGGTGCCCATCCTTAATAAAATCATGCTGAGAAAGCCAGTTCATAAAAGTGTTTCCAAAAAGGGCTGCTCTGGTTAAAACAAGAGCAGAGAGACAGACTCTCGTTTGCCTGGCTTTCTATTACCCCACCCCCCACGATTCCAGGTCACCCCGGGAGTCCCTGGAGCCCAGTGTGCAAACCATAGTATTAACCCAGAGTAATTGTGGTATTTCAGGTGCAGCCTATGGGGAAATACTTTGGACAAGCAGCTGATGCTTGCTCGAGCCACCATGTGAGGTGGGCATGGACTGGGACAAGGACAGATGGACTCTGAAGCCCTCTAAAAATCCTAAGACAACACAGCACAGACTTTGGAATTGGGCAGGTCTGGACTCCAATGTCTACCCTTCCCCGGTGACCCTGAGAAGGCACCATAGCTTTCCCAGCCTTGGCTTCCCCATCTGTAATATGCACATGGTAGAACTGTTTGGTGGAATAAATGAGAAGGCACCATAGCTCTCCTAGCCTCGGTTTCCCCATCTATAATATGCACATGGTAGAACTGTTTGGCAGAATAAACGAGGTGATACATATAACGGGTTTAGCAAATAATAAACATGGAACACGCACCATTGCTGATGTTGCTATTATGGCCCCATCACTTGTGAACTGTCTGATCTTGGGGGAGTTAGTTCTTCATCTGTGAACTGGAGGTGATGATGGTACCTACCTCATAGGGTCCTTATGCATGGAGATAGATGTGTGGGAACATGTAAAGGTGCTTAGTTGATGCTTGGCACAAAATGAACATTTAGTGCATGCTGGATATTACTTATCGTCATTATTATTATTGTAATCTTTGCTCCTGCCCTAGTGGCCAACCACCCCCGGGCTTCGTCCTTGCCTGCGGACGACGCAGAGGCCCCCTCCCCCTGGGCCCCGTCTTACCCCGGCGGGATGGAGGCGCGCGCGCTCACGCTGGTGGTGCGCTGGGGCCCGGGCCGGTTGAGGTTGTTCTGCCCCGGGGTGCGCGCTCCGCCGGGGGCGCCCGGGCTCCGTGGGGGCGCCCCGGGAGGCGGCGCGGGCTCGGCGGGGCCGGCGGCGGGCGCTGCCCAGAGCGCGGCGCCTGTGAAGGTGGCGCTGGGGCGCACGGCAAGCGCGCCTGGAGGCCCTCCAGGTGGCGGCGGCGGCGGCAGCGGGGGCGCGGGGGGCGCCTTGCGGCGCTGCGAGGCCAGGATGGCGTTGGAGGCGGCGCGCGTGCTGTTGACCAGCAGGCACTGCTGGCAGGAGCAGGGCTGGCCCGAGCTGGCGCCCACGGGCCACGACTGCGACTTAGGGATGGAGCCCACGGTGAGCGGGTAGGCGAGGTCCAGGCGGCGGCGCAGGCGGCGGCGCCGGCGCGTCTGGCGGTTCATCTGCGACATGCTGTTGAAGTAGATGAGGTAGCAGAAGCCTAGCGATGAGAGGTCGAGCCACGGGTGCTGCTTCTCGTAGGCGTTCTGGATGGTGATGCAGATGTCCATATCGTAGGCCGTCCATGCGCCGCCGTCGTTCTCCCACTCCCACACGATGCCCTTGCCCGGCGCCGACGACGGGTCGTAGAAGTTGCGCCGCACGGGCCGCATGGTGCCTGTACTCGAAATGGGGAGGAGGCGTCAGCACAGCGGGCGTTGGTCTGCGCGGCTGGAAGGGCGGGCCACAGCCAGGCAAGGGTGGGCGGGAGGTTGGGGGGTCAGCACAGGCCTCCAGGGGGTCCACCCAGACTTGGGGAGAGGGTCAACACATGCACGGAGAGGAAGGAGGTCAAGGCCCAGGCATGAGGTTCAGCACAGGCTGGAGGGTCAGGACAGGCGGCAGCCAGGGTGAGGGGGGCCGGGGCTAAAGGTTCAGCGCATAGCACTGGGGCGAGAGGTGGGCAGGGGCGCGTGGTCAGTAGATTGGGCGTAGGGGCGGGAGAGCCACCAAACAGGGTGGGGGTGCCAAGATAGCCTGGGGTAGGAAACCAGCAAGGTGTGGAGGGCTCCCCCACCCTCCACCTCTCCAGGGCCAAGACAGACACTGAAGTGGGGGTTATCACAGGCCCTGGATGGTGCGGGGGAGGGCAAAGGGGGCCTGGGGGTTCTTCAGACCAGAGTCAGATAAAGTGGGGCAGGCATAGACAGAGACCAAGGCCATGCACATAGGCCCCATGCAGTCCTCTTCTTCATTATAGTTTGCTCACTCATTCAATGATTCATTCATCAATCTGTTCATGCCTTAGTTCATTAATTTAAGCACTATTTCATTTAGTCATTCAACAATTCTTGCATTAGTTCATTCACTTATCCATGCCCTAGTTCACATATTCATATATTCCTTCATTCAATGATTCATTCATTCATTGATTCTTTCCTTAGGTCATTCATTCGTGCCTGCAGTCATCCATTATGTTATTTTATTTTATTTATTTATTTAGAGACAGGGGTCTCCCTATGTTGCCCAGGCTAAGTCTCAAACTCTTCGGCTCAAGCAATCCAACCGCCTTGGCCTCCCAAAGTGCTGAGATGACAGGTGTGAGCCACCATGACCGGCCCCACTTTTTTTTTTTTTTTTTTTCCAGGCAGAGTATTGCTCTGTCGCCCAGGCTGGAATACAGTGGCACAATCTAGGCTCAATGCAATCTCCGCCTCCAGGTTCAAGCGATTCTCCTGCCTCAGCCTCCTGAGTAGCTGGGACTACAGGCATGCACCACCTTGCTGGGCTAATTTTTGTATTTTTAGTAGAGATGGGGTTTTGCCATGTTGGCCAGGCTGGTCTCGAACTCCTGACCTCAGGTGATCCACCCACCTCAGCCTCCCAAAGTGCTGGGATTACAGGTGTGAGCCACCGCCCCTGGGCCCCTTATGCTTTTTTTAAATTGATACCTTTATGTATTCTCCATCTTCAGCCCACTCCCGTATTCAGGCATTCAGACATTCCTTCATTTACCATCATCCTATTTAAAAATGTGCACCCCCCACGTACTTTCCCCTCTCTCCTTCCCCGCTCCATTTTCTCCCTCAGATATACTTCACATTCTACCCATTTATCTTGGTTTCTGTCTGTCCCCCCCTCGCTAGAATGTAATAGCCACAAGGTCAGGGATTTTGTTTTATTTACTGCTATATCCCCAGCACCTGCACACAGCAGGTGCTCGAGCGATATTTGTTGAATGAATGAATAAATTCATTAGGTCACAAATGGATTCTTTTTTTTTTAATTCATTCACACTTTGTGCTCATCCCTGCATTCGTCCATTCCTTCATTTGCTTATTTGTTACTTTCATTCATCTGTTTGTTTCATTTGTTACTTCCTTCAACAAACAACTGCTGACTGCCAGGTGGGCCCCCTTTCATAAAGGAGGGCACTGAGGCTTTACTCCAAACCACAGCTTCATGTTTGCCAAAGCTCTGCGTGCTCCCCTGACAGCAAGGCTCCACGGGAAACTCTGGGCTAACCAGAGATAACCCAAGGTCCAGGCCGCAGGACTTCTCAGAGCCTTTAGCCTGCTCTGTGTCTTGGGGCTGATGAAGTGAGTCTTTTGCTGGGTTCATTTGGCACACCTGCAGAAAGGCTGCACACTTGACTTCCCCTCAACTGCGGGAAAGTCCCTTAAGCCTCCTCAGGCCTTAGTGGCCCCATCTCAAAAAGAGGGGTGATCATCCATGACCCAGCCCTTCCCTCTCACACAGTATTTGGGGGAGGAGTGAGTGAGAACAGCTGCAGAGGGTCTGGGTGGGACCCCAGGGCTGGGAGGCAGACAGCCCTCACTTCAAGTCCTGACTTTCTGACTTTCCAGCTCTGTGACTGTGCGTAGGCAACTCAGCATCTCTGGGCCCCAGTTTTCTCATGTTGAAAATGGGCATAAGCAGACATGCAATAGAAGACTGCTGCGTTTGCCAGCTGTAGCAACAGTTGCTTGTGGGGTTGCTGAGAGGATCAATTGAGATAAATACCGTGTCTACTCTGATGATTCCAAAATCTGCCATCTTTGGCCCCGTCTTCTCCCCTGGGAGCCAGGTTCATGACCCTTCCCTGGAGAGGTTTAACAGGCACCTTGAACTCAGCTCTGCTCTCCCCTGCCCCAAACCTGCTCCTCCTGAAGTCTTCACATAGCAATTCCTGGCAGCTCCTGCGCTTCCGGATGCTCTTCCTTGGACCCCCAAATCTTGGTCTCATCCTTGACTTCTACCTCATATCCCACCTCCAATCTGTCAGTAAATCCAGTCATCTCCACCTTCAAACACATCCACATCTGACCACTGCTCCCCACTGCACTCACACCACCCAGTCCCCGCCATGTTATCTCTCCTGCCTGGACCATTGCAGTAGACTCATGACTGGCCTCTGTAATCCATTTCCCATACCGCAGCCAGAGGGATCCTGCTCAATGCAAGTCAGATCACATCTTTCCTCTGCTCAAAATCCTTCCTGGCTTCCGCTCACTTGGAGTAAAAGCCAAAGTCCTTGCCATGACCTACAACGAAATCACACATTGTGGGGCCCTGTCCTCCTCTGGCATTGTCTACCTCCCCCTTATCACTCACTCCATTCCAGCCACCCTGGCCTCCTTGCTGTTCCTCAAATACACCAGGCACTGTCCAGCCTCAGGGCCTTCTCACTGGCTGTTCCCTCTGCCTGGAATATGACCTCACCATTCCCAGATGTTCTCATCATTTCCTCCCTTCTTTCTTACAGGTGTGTGTTCAAACATCTAAAAGTGCAGCCCTCCTATTGCTGTCCTCTGAGCTTGCTTTATTTTCCTCCCTGGCACTTGGCATTACCTGACTGACTATATATATATATGAGAGAGAGTCTTTCTCTGTCACCCAGCCTGGAGTGCAGTGGCGTGATCTCGGCTCACTGCAACCTCTGCCTCCCAGGTTCAAACGATTCTCCTGCCTCAGACTCCCAAGTAGCTGGCATTACAGGTATGTGTCACCCAGCTGATTTTTTTTGTATTTTTCGTAGAGACGGGATTTCACCATGTTGGCCAGGCTGGTCTCGAACTCCTGACCTCAGGTGATCCACCTGCCTCAGCCTCCCAAAGTGCTGGGATTACAGGTGTGAGCCACTGCGCCAGGCTGTGACATGATGTATTAATCTGCATGCATTCTTTATGCTGCGTATCCTCACTCTAGGCTGTCAGCTGCAAAGTCAGGGATCTTGTCTGCTTTGCTCACTGCTGTACTCCCAGCACCTGGCACAGTACCTGCACACAGTAGGACCTCAAAACCTGGAAGGCATTTCCATTGTTAATTGGCATCTTCCTCGGGTGCCTGGCCCAGGGATCTGCAACCAGATAGGGGAACTCAGACTGTTCCACACTGGTGTGTCCCTACTCAGGGCTGAAAGAGCTTGTCCTCTGCCCTCTCCTCTGTTAGAATCACAAGGGCTACAGACTAGCCTTGTGCCCTGCCAACTGGACAGGCCCCAATAGCTGGAGAAATCGAGGCACGGAGCTATGGCTATTGATATGAAAGGGGCGGGGTTGAAGAGGTGGAGAGGTTGGACTGGCAGCCCAGCCCCAGGAAATAAGGTCCCTGGGCACCTACCATGTTCCAGCCAATCAGACAAAAACTTCCCCTGCATCTCTGGGGCAGCCTCACTCTGATGCCTGATTTATCATTTTAATTGAGTGTGTGCAGATTGATTTCTTCCCTGGTGATGGGGCTTCCTCCACAGTAGGCCCGGGAGGAGGTGAGTTAGAGAGAAAACCCTGGATCCTGCTCCCACCTGCTCTTGTGTGCTGGTCTTCCCCTCTCAGGGCCTCAGTTTCCCCACCTGCAAAATGAGGGGTTGTGATGACTGATCTTCAAGGCTGATGTGCCTGAAGTACCACCATTCAGCTCCTGGTGAGGTGAAGGCAGTGTATTACCTGAAAAATGTGCAGGATAGGAAGGGAAGCAATGGGAACCCGCCTTATTTAACTTCCCCTGTGTGCCAAATCCTGAGCTCGGCAGGGGAGGGGCCGGGATAGGAGGTGCAGAGTGAAGTGATTCAAGCAACTCAGAAGTCTCTCGGGTCGAGCCAGGTGCAGTGGCTCATGCCTGTAATCCCAACACTTTGGGAAGCTGAGGCGGGTGGATCATCTGAGGTCAGGAATTCGGGACCAGCCTGGCCCACATGGTGAAACCCCCGATCTCTACTAAAAAATACAAACATTAGCCAGGCGTGGTGGTACGTGCCTGTAATCCCAGTTACTCAGGAGGCTAAGGCATGAGAATCGCTTGAACCCAGGAGGCAGAGGTTGCAGTGAGCTGAGATCACACCATTGCACTCCAGCCTGGGCGACAAAGCAAGACTCTGTCTCAAAAAAAAAAAAAAAAAAAAAAAAAGAAAATCTCTCAGGTCTTGTGCAAATCCTGGCTGGTACCACACATAGCCTCAGTGCCCTTATCTATAAAATGGGGGTATTAATATCTACCCCAAAGAATTACTGGGGAAACAAAATGAGATAACGTATAGGCAAAGGTGCTTAGCAGAACACTTAGCATTTAGTAAGCACTCAATGAATACAGCTACAATGGCTGATATTACATATGTTACCCACATTCATCCTCCCCCAGCCCTTGTTCACTTGGCAAACTCCTATTCATCCAGCAAAGCCCTCCATGTGCTCATCTCCTCCAACATGGGCTTCTCTGTTCTGTTGCTATAGTTGGCAAACGCAGCAGTCTTTTATTGCATGTCTGTCCTCACACTGTCATTATTTGTTTTTGTTCTTAGTCATCCTCATTGGTAGATCACTTTTGGGAGGACAAAGACTACTAGGTCAGATATGCAACTATGTTTGGAGCACCAGGCACAAAGCCTGGTGCAAAGAAGACATCTGCAAGCGAGACGGGCAACCTACTTGGCACTTGGAGGAGTGGGAAAGAGGAAAATCTGGGCTTGATGGAGAGGGAGTGGAGATTGGAGAGCAAGCAGCCCCCAGGGTGGAGGCCAAGCTTCGAGGGGTCCCTGGGGAGGACCCTCAGGCCAGGAGGAGGATTCTCAACATCAGCGTTGGCCAGCTCTGCAGCAAAGGACTCTGGGAGCCCGTCAGGGCCAGCTAGCCCAGGCCTCCCTCTCTCCAGGGCTCTATTTACCAGGTATCGATTTTCCTGCCTGTTTACTGGTAGTTATTAAAGGCTGTGTCCCTGGAGTCCTTTTGAAACAAGATTGGAACCTGGAGAGCAGGAGTAATTAGGGCAGCTGCTGTCCTCCCCGCTGGGCCCTGCACCCCGCAGCGCCCGCCGCTGCCCGCCTGCCCATCCGTCCGCCTCTCCGGCCCAGGCTGGCCATGGACCAGGCCGAGGGGGTGGGCAGCTGGTTCCTTGGTGACCTGCCTGGACTTCGATCTCAAGATTTCTAAGGGAGCAGTGGTGGAAATGCTCCTTCTCCTCCGCAGTGGCCATGGCCTAGATTTTCAGCCAGAACAATGGGTCTAAGAAGGGGCTGGAGTTTCTTCAGCCTGGGAAAGAGGCTGGGCCTCAGGCTGGTGGCCCAGAGCAGACCACACCCCACTCTGGCCTTCAGGGCACCCTGCTGTGCTGGCCACAGGGTCTGCGTCCCCCAGGCAGTTAGGGGCCTGTGACAAACATGGGCTCCGTGCCTCTGCCTCGGCCTGTTTTTGTGTCTCTGCCTTTGTTGTCTTCCCCTTCTCTCTCCTCCCTAGTTGCTTAAAAATGTTTGGCAGAAAAATTCCAGGCTTCTTCCAGCTGAACTGGAGAAAGGGGCTTTGGTCAGTGTCAGCTGGAGGACTGCACAAGCTGGGCCCCTGAGACCGGGTGTGGGGGCGGCCACAGCCACAGCTGCCAGTGACTGCTTCATGCCTGGGGCAGAGACAGGGTGACAGCAGGATGGAGAGAGACAGAGAGAGACATACATGATCAAAGAGACTGTCAGAGACAGGCCAAGGCCAACATGGGAAACTGAGGCAGATACCAAGAGAGCTGGAGTCAGAGATAGAACGAGCTTGAGAGATGAAAAGAAAGGGAAGCTGGAAACCTGGAGGCTGAGACCATCATGGAGAATCAGGGAAACCAAGGCTAGCATTTATTGAGCACCTACTGTATGGCACATGCTGCACTCAGCACTCTCCTTGCACTCACTCATTCCATCCTCACACCATTGCTTCCAGGGAGGGACCAGGACTATTTCCATTTTACAGATGAGGAAACTGAGGCCCGGAGAGGTGAACTCTTGGGAGGGTGAGAGCAGAGGGCTGGGAATGATGCCACACTCGTGGAGTAAAGGCAGGCCCAGGTTGGACTGGTTCCATGGGGTTCAACCTCACCAAGTGGTAGCACAGCCTAGGATACTTCCAGCGATGGAGAGCTCACTACTTCAGCTTTACTTTCCGTTGTTTAGCCGTGTGAGGTTTCTGCCCTAGAGCATGGTCCCGATCTGAACCCACTGCCTAGAGGTGGGTATGTGGGTGCCTCAGCCCCCACCTCTTGGCCTTAAGAAGCAGCTGACTCCATGGAGAAGGGGGAGGGTTCTGAGCCCCCGAGCCTTCCTCCTGCTGGTCCCTCAGCCTCTAAACGGTTCCTCTCTGGGCTGGGCCAGCTTCAAGGCCCAGCAGGGAACCCCTCCCTTTGGGGGTGGCTTCCCGGAGGGAAGTGATCTCAGTTTGGGGGCACCCAGACCCTGACGGGAAGGGGGCACGTGGGAGGCGGTCATGGGACATCCTGTCAGGCTGGGGGAGTCCCACCACAGGCTGAGGCCTGTGACCGGGGGTTGGGCAGTGGCTGGGCCCCAGTCAGAGACTTCACTGAATCCTTCACCAACCCAGAAGTCATAATACTAACAGCCATCCACACTCAGAGAGCACACTTTTCTGCCCCAGGCTGTGTTTAGCTCATTCAAGCGAAAGAGTGTGTTTAGCACCCCTAGGAGGTGGGGGTGTTATTGCCCCATTTTAGAGGCGAGAAAACAGAGGCACGGAGCAGTTAGGAGCACACCGGATGCCATCTGTGAGTGGTCCAGCTGGAGCCTACACAAGGCCACCTTGCTTCATTTGCTGTTCCCTCTGACTTAGTCTCATGAGCCCATGTTCTGGGGGAGGAAACTGAGGCACAGCGGTTGCATGGTAAGTAAGTGACATGGCTGAGGTTCCAACCCTGGATTGCTATGTGACCTTCTGGAATAGCCCCTTAGCTGGCATCTGCATGGCTGCTCACCTGTCTCCTACAACAAGGACAACAGCGGCACCCAACACCTTACCGAATGCTCCGCAGTGCCAGCAACTGTGCTAGGGGCTCACACACATCATCTCCCAGTCCTCACAGCAGCCCCAGGGGTGTGTGTGCTAATATTAGCCCCATCGGACAGATGGGGAGACTGAGGCTCCCTAAGAAGACGTGGAAGTCTGGCTGGGGGCACCGGCTGGGCTGGGATTCGAGCTGCAGCCTGTGGATCCAGGCTGCCTCACCAGCTCCTGCCCCATGATCAATAATCCCGCAGTGTTCTGTTTCCCTCCAAACTCTCCTCTGGGATTCATCAGGCTAAGCTGTGGCCCATTAGTGGTTTCCTTGTGGTTGAAGCTGGCCCAGGTTCTCCAGGGTCTGCTGGAAGCCAGGCCAGGGTGGTGGGGAGACAAGGGGAGGAGAGGGGGTCTGCAGTGCTGCCTAAGGAAGGCTGAAGGGCTGCGTGGCACTCGGAGAGGCTACCACCTTGGAGGCTGCTGGCAGGCGGAGGCGGGCACTCATACGCCATGGGCTGTATGGGGGGCTTTCTGGTCACCTGGCTTCCCACACACCCAGCAGGGGATTCAGATCCCTAGCAAAGCAGGAAGTGGAGGGGGAGGGGACAGAGGGCTGGACAGTCCTCCACAGCCTGAGCCCTCCAAACTGCTCCTTTCTCATCTGTGAAATGGCATAATTGTAATAATAATAAAATAATAATGATAATAAACACTCCCAGAGGGCCTACTATGTGCCAGGCGCTGTTCTAAATGCTTCGTGTAAGTCAACTCTTCAGCCACAAAATGACTGGGGCAGGTTGTTATGATAATAATGATAATAAACATATGATAATGATAACTATTACGATCACTGTCTTGTACAAACACTGAGTGAAGCACAGAGAGGTGAAGCAATTTGCCTGAAGTCCAGAGTCACATAGCCACTGGGCTACTAAGTGAAGATTGAATCTAGTCAGGATTTGAACTTCCCCGACTTCCACTGTCAGCCCTCTGGCCCATGCCACCAGAGTGCTAGCCTGGACTGTTGCAGGGGCCTCCTCCCCATGTCCCAGTGTCCACCCTTTGCAATGTTCAGTGCATTCTCACATGGCGCCGGGGGGATTTTTCACAGACTCAAGGCTGGACTGTGTCACTCCTCTGCTCCACAGCTATCAATAGCTCCCTAGTGCCCTTAGGAATCAGTCTAAACTCCTTAGAGTAGCCTCTGAAGCCCATCACAAGCTGTCTGCACAGCCTCACACTCTAACCACACCAAAATTCCAGCTATTTTTTGAACATACCGTGTGTGCGGTTATGCCTCTGTATTTGCATATGCTGTTCCATCTGTCTAGAGTGTCCTACCCACCCCACCCCACTGGCCTCCCTGCTGAGTTCTTTCTCAATCTTCTGGCTCAGCACAAGCACTCTGTCTTCTTGGAATCTTCTCTGCCATCCTTAGGGCAAACCACTCGCTCCTTGGGGACTCCATAGCACCTTGCGCCTGCAATGCTCCCATCAAAGCACATAGCTCACTAGGTGCGGAGGTGTCTGTGTTCCTTCGGGCCTGGCAGCCCCTCCAAGGCTGGGCTGGTTTACAGTCACCTTGGCATCCCTCTGTGGTCAGGAGTGCAGGGAGGTAGGTCCTTGCAAAATGTTGGATGAATGAATAAATGAATGAATAACCAAATACATCTGAATGAACCTAACTGAATGCTGCTCATGACTAGGCTGGAGACTGCAAGCTGGGCGGATATGGTTTTGTTCTGGTTCACATGCTATTTACATTTAAAAAATAGTGACCTGTATTTATTTATTTATTTATTTTTTGAGACAGGATCTCACTCTGTTGCCCAGGGTGGATTGCAGTGGTGCCATGATAACTCACTGCAGCCTGCACCTCCTGGTCTCAAGCAATCCTCCAGCCTCAGCCTCCTGAGTAGCTGGGATCACAGGTGTGTGCCATCATGTCTAGCTATTTTTTTTTTTGTTTTTATTTGGTGGAGATGGGGTTTCACTACATTGCTCAGGCTGGTCTTAAACTCCTGTGCTCAAGTGATCCTCCTGTCTCAGCCTCCCAAAGTGCTGGGATTCCAGGCATGAGCCACCTCAAATGGCCTCACATTTAAAAATTGGGGCAGATTCACACCAGTCCAGATTTCAGAAATCCCCAGATATCCAAGGGTGGGGCCACAACAATTGGCCTCCTTGGCAACAGTGAGCAGGAGCTGAGTTATGCTGGCCCCATTCATGCCTTCAAGTATTTATTGAGCACCTGCTGCATACCAGGCACTGGAGAGCAAGACAGTTAAAAAACCTCTGCCTTCCCAGACACTGCACACACTTCTATTAGTTGCCCAGGCCCTGTAAGCATCTGAATTTGCAGCCTTTGTGTAGATGGGTAAGCTGAGCTGCAGAGAGAAACTTGGGCAAGATCACCTGGCAAATTAGAGACAGGCCTTGGACCCAGGCTCCCTGACTGTCATTTCCACAGGGCCAGGTGAGTAACACCTTGGAACAAGTGAACCTTCGCCCCCTAGAACAGAGGAAGCTGGGGAGGGCAATGCTTACCCCAGCCAGGGGGAGGGCCCTGGGAAGGTGGTATTCCAGGTAAACTCTGTGCTTCCTCTTACCGTGCTCTGCTTGCAGTTGGAGGGGGAGGGGACAAAGGCCCAGTCGGTCATCGGGACAAGAGGTGGCTGTGCTGCAGCTGCTGGCAGGACTGTCCTGGCAGCCTCCTTTGATTGCCTCGTCCTTTGTTCTGCATCTCAGGGTGCTCAGCTCCAGGGCCCAGCGCCAGACTCCCTCATGCACCCCGTCACCGGCCTGCCACTGCTGTCTGTGCAGGCAGCAGTAGCAGCCTGGAGCAGCTCCAGAGGGATGATGGAAGGAGCCCAGAGAGGGAGAGGCGCTTGGCCAGGGTGGCCGAGCAAGGACACAACTATGCGGGACCTAGAGGAGACTCAGCTCCTAGCCCGGCAGCTCCTGGGCTCCAAGGTAGGGGACAGTCCTATATGCTGGGACTTCCTTGGCGCCTGGCCTCCTGCATCACACCCATCATCACTCCACCCCTCACCCCCAGAACAGAAGCACCTTGAGGGCTTCTGTGTCTGTCCTGTTGATTGTGACATTCCTAGTGCCCGGACAGTGCCTGGCACACAGTAGGTGCTCATGAAACTCCTGATGAATGAATGAATAGTGACCACAATCACACAAGTTCAGTACTATCATCAGGTCCATATTACAGGTGAGGAAACAGAGGCTCAGAGGCTCAGGGAGGGAGTGTGGTTTACTTAAGGTCACAAATCTCCCCACCCACTACGATTCTTTTTTTTTTTTTTGAGACGGAGTCTCACTCTGTTACTCAGGCTGGAGTGCAATGGCTCAATCTCAGCTCACTGCTACCTCCACCTCCCGGGTTCAAGTGATTCTCCTGCCTTGGCCTCCCGAGTAGCTGGGATTACAGGCGCCCACCACCATGCCCACTAATTTTTGTATTTTTAGTAGAGAGGGGGTTTTACCATGTTGGCCAGGCTGGTCTCGAACTCCTGACCTCAGGTGATCCACTCACCTTAGCCTCCCAAAGTGCTGGGATTATAGATGTGAGCCACCACACCCGGCCTACACACCCCATGATTCTTAGTAAGCAGCTGGGATGGGAACCCAGAGCCTGGCCCTCA